>NC_000013.11:69165681-69317196 GCF_000001405.40 Homo sapiens
ATTCATTTAATTATTTTACTATTAGGTTTATATAGTTTTACATGTAAAAAATATTGTTGTAAAATATAAATTTTAAATGAAGAAATTTTTTAAAAAATCAAATACACAAAATGATATGCTAGTCTAAATTAATAGAATATAATACATAAATAAAATTATTGAAAGATTAATTTTTAGATAAGAAACAGAAAAACTTTTTTTAAAACTAAAAAGTGTTACAAAAAGCTAGTGATGACAACTGTTACAGTATAGTTTTTAATCTTGTTTCTTCTAATAAAGTGAAAATGTCAGAGTATATTGAATAGCAGAAACAAAACTGATGGACCATATCTACAACAAAAGTACATAAAAAGCTATATCTATGAATATTCAAATACACACATTCAAGAAAAAGGAACATGTTTTCATGATATGAGCATTTGTGTGGACAGAAGATTCAAAAAAGTGGCACACATACTTGACAGGAGAGAAACTGCGGATTAGCCAACAGGTTATCTTTGGAAAATAGAGCAAACCAGTTTACACAACTAAAACTGGATTGCCTTCAATTCAGGATGAGTGCAAGAATCCACAGTGAGGATCAAATGGGCTAAAAAAATCTAGTTCCATGAAATCTCAAAACCAGTCATCAGCCGCTCATTTGGAATGGTGTCCCATGTTATAGTGTAGGGAAACTGTTGGAGATAGAACCCAGTTGGTGCCACAAAGACACAAAAAAGAGTAAAGAAAGAGTTGCTCAATGGTAGAGAGTGGGATCCCAAAAGAGAACTGAGAGGTCTTAAGAAAGCAGAGGCCACAAATTTTAACACTTTATAAAAAGAACCAAAGAGGAAATTGTAAAGCTATGAATCTATAAAAGACATTGAAACACATACTTCCTTCCAGTAAATCAGAAAGGCAAATTACACATCAAAAGGAACAATACAAAGGATTGCTATTGAATCAAATACAAGGTTATTATAATAAAATAAGGAATAAGGACTAGAATAATATTATTTCAAATAATAAAATTATGTCAGGAAACATTCACACAAACAGAAACAAAGTATAGCTTTAATATTTCAAAATGAGACAAAATAAAGTAAGAAAAATATTAGAACACTTAGAAAAATTAGCAAATCTGAAAATAAGATATCAGAATGGAGGGGAGGAAATTAGAGACACAAAAGATCATTTCACAAATGAAAATTACTAGAAGAAAGAAGAGAATTTTAAAAACACAGCAGGTAATGCAGTAACAGAATTAGAAAATAATAAAAGAATATATAATTTTTGTAAATGAAAAAATTAGAAAAACTCACAATATATAGAAGCTAAAATTATAAGAAAATAAAAGCCAAGAAAATACAACAGTAAACTCTATGCATCACAGATGGTTACTCTGCAAACTTTTCACTTACCTTATTTGTGTCATAATTTTTTAATCACACCTTTAGATTATACATTTAAAATGAAGGAAATAATGACACCCAGATATTACAAGGAGCTTATATATTTTGTTTTTATTGTTAACAACATTTTATTATTAAAAGTTTTGATTATAAAATAGTTAAAACAGTTTTGTAGTGAATACTCGTGTCCCACTATCTAAATTCTACAAATAAAATTTTACCTCATTATTTCAACAGACATAGCCCATCTATCCTTCAATTTATGCCATTTATAAGGCTTATGATTTATTAGTTTCAAAATTCAGACATCAGTTTACTTTTCCCAGATGCTTCAGCATGCATATAAAATAGTAAGAAATCAATATATGGTAATGGTCCTCCTTTTATTTTGTGTATTTGAGGTGATATTTACAAAGAAATGCACAAGTCTTAAGCTACCCTTTTAATGAGTGTTGACAAATTCAAAACCTCTGTAGCTCCAACCTTTATCAAAATATAAAACATTTTAATCACCTCTGAAAGATTTATCATGGCCACTTCTCAGAAGTAACAATTGTTATGAGATATATATGTATACGTACATACACACTGTGGGTAGAAGTGATAGATACAGGAGGCAGAGGAATTCTAGGCCGAAAAGGGTGGGGTCCCTGACGAGGGCCCCATCCTCAAATCTAAAACTTTAGCCCAAAATGAGAACATACATTCCTGTTTTCCCATTTGAATGTTGCCTCTTCCAAAACCACCTATGGCCCACTCTGCCCCATATCCTGTTCCCATAAAAACAACTGACCTGGAATTTGAGACCAGCCTGATCAATATGGTGAAACCCTGTCTCTACTAAAAATACAAAAAGTAGCCAGGCGCGGTTGTGGGGGCCTGTAGTCCCAGCTACTCAGGAGGCTGTGACAGGAGAATTTCTTGAACCCGGGAGGCGGAGGTTGCAGTGAGCCAAAAATAAAAATTAAAATTAAACAACAACAACAACAACAACAAAAACAACAACAACAAAACCATGACCTGACTGGCAGAGAGCAGAGAAGAGGAGAAGAGGAGACGCAGTTGGACATCTGGACATTGGAGACTGTGGTTTCACATCAGAGAGAAGCAGCATGATTTCAGAGGGACAGCTTCTTGATGGTGTTGTTTCGGAGAGGATTCCAGGGAAAGATCACCTTCCCACTCCATTCCCCTTCCAGCTCCCTTTCCCATTGAGAGACACTTTCATCTGCATTAAAATCCTCCGTATTCACCACCCTTCAATTTGCTCCTGTGGCCTGATTTTTCCTGGATGCCCAACAAGAGCTCGGGTGCCATGGGTGTGAGCTAAAGGCTGTCACACTGACTCTCTGCCCTCGCTGGTGGAAAGCAACTGCCTCACGTGAAAAGGCAGAGAGCCCAGTGAGCTGTATAACACTTAAGCTGTCCACGGATGGCAAAGCTAAAAGTGCACACTGTCACACATGCCCTCTGAGGCTTCGGGAGTCACGGGTACTCCCCCATTAGATGCTGCCATGTGGCCCATACAAGAGTTTTGCTCCTGCCGGTGCCCAGAAGCACTCACTCAGCTCCTGCACGCACTCACCTGCATGCTCCCCCTTCCATGAGGGGTTGAGAGCTGCAGGCTGAGTAAGTGAGGAACTCCTGTCCTGAGGCGCAGAGGTGTCAGGGAAAATTTCGTTTCGGAAGGTTTTGAAGTTTGTTGTGATTAAAAAAAAATTAGATTAATACTATGATGAGTATTAATGCATACATACAGACATGACTCTCATAACCATAGAAATTGCTGATCTCTAAGAGTTTGGGAAAAATCTTAGGAGTAAAATTATATTAAGAGGCTTTGATTATTTAATTATTTTCAGTTTATAGTCATTACATAACATTTTTAAATTTCTCTTTAAATGATTATGAATATGAAGGCAAAAATAATACAAAAAACCACATGTGGGTGATGAGGGTACATTTTTTTAGCTTGTTAGCAAACATTTTATAGCATCAATGTCCATTCTTGCTTTTATTACTATTTATATCTTATTATCCTTTGAACTTTATAGGCAAGCAAATTTTTTTCCCCGTAAATGACTGAAAAGAAATAGCTAATTTAGTGGACAAATAGAAAATAAAAAATTCTATTGATATCCAAATCTTTGCTGACAGTAACAACTGGCATACATGTATAACCCTGCACACTGCTATTTCAAGTTATTCTATCAAATTTTATCATTAAAACTTCAGGAACAACATTGGTCTTACCATGTACATTATGATAGGGAATTTCATCCTTACTTGTGTGACCATATAATTAAATGAAACTTTTATGTCCAATTTACAAATAGGAGAAATCTGCTTGAATGCCTTTTTGAAATAATGAAGTTGCTGTCAATTTTGACTTTAATTGTGGCTGTCAGCCTCCCTGAGGTATAAATGTTCACTTCCATGGAAACATTAAATGGATTATTAGTAAAATTTCTGAGAATTTGAGTTATAGTGATTGTGCCATAGATTATTTTGTCACAAATTGTAACAGATTAAACT
The DNA here is from genome assembly GCF_000001405.40 of Homo sapiens. NCBI lineage: Eukaryota > Metazoa > Chordata > Mammalia > Primates > Hominidae > Homo > Homo sapiens. Next base: position 69,169,608 of record NC_000013.11, read on the forward strand.
ATCATAAAGTTTATTTTTAACTGAGTAAAGCTTATATTCAGTCAAATAAGATAGTTCGTTTTTTCAATAAACAATGCAATAAAAATGCCACAAAACCTATCAAGGAAGCACATTAACTTTTGAAATTATAGTCAGCTCTAAGTGGTCAGCACCACTGGCTATATTGTGGAATTACATGGCGTTACATGGCATTACTTCTACAGCATTGTCCTGTAAGTAAATTAACATGATCTATGAAAGACCCCCCACCAACGGTCAAACATGTTATTTAACTTTGAAACCTAAATGAACTGACGTATTTTATTGGAATGGAACTAGATAGCATATTAATATAACAATTCAGTACAACCAATAAATGACAGAAAAAAATGATTTTAAATTGCCAATTCAGACAATTACTACTAAATGAAATTCATTGTCAATCACATAAGTACTCGGGATATTTTGAGCAAATTAAACATTCTGAAATATTTTTGATTGTTTTATAAATACTTTATTACTTTAGGCATATAAGTCTGACTAGAAACAAGGGAAATATAGTTTTCTATTTCTCCTTATATTCCTTTTGCCTAGAGAATTATCTACTTATTCAGAACTATATATTTGTAAGAAGTCAGATTATTAGCTATGAAAATCAGATATATTGTCTTCCATTTTTAAGATTTATTGCATAGTTATTGCATAAGATATGCATGTTTTATTTGTTAATTAGAAATATTAATTTAATAAAAACTTTAGGTGAGTGTAGATAATTTAAAAGATTGTTGCATCATGCTACTAATAATTTATAGCTGAAATTCTATAGGTTTGGAAGATAAAGAAGGTACTTTTTTTTCAAACAACTTTAACATTAAACATTTTGAAAGATTATTAGAAACTTTTGCATGTTGTAAAACTTCAAGTGATTCAAAACATATTTCAAGTAATAAATCTTAAACTGAGGTGTCAAAATTGTGGCTAATGAATCTATAATTTTATTAACATTAACTGTGGAAATCGTTATACAATAGATTTATTCAGAAATCTTCAAATGATTAAATATCAATAAAATAAATTTTGCTAGATTTTGTATAATATATTTACATTTATATACTGCATATTAACAAATGACTATATATGTGTGAATGTACAATTAGAATTGAAAGGGAAATAAAATGACTCTACTCATTTGAAAAGAGTCTTAAATTTTTAATTTCAAAATGCAAATTAAAATTATGATGACCTAGTTTTTACTTATGTAAATAGCAAAGATAAAAATGATAAAGAGTTAAGGACACTTCAAGTAGATGAAGAAATGAAAAAAATAGGTGTTGCACGAATTCCAGGTGGCAGTAAAAGTACTAAAAAGTATTAAATATTACAAATATTAAATATCTTTGGCGAAAACGTTGGCAATATCTGCTTTAAAATGTTAATTTGTAGTATGGGTAAAATTATACTTTAGATATAAACTTACAAATATTTGGAAATACATATTTTTTAAAACTATCATAGTATTGTTTGATTTTTTGTTTGTTTGTTTGAAACAGAGTCTTGGTCTGTTGCCCAGGCTAGAGTGCAGTGGCCCTATCTCATCTCTGCAAGCTCTGCCTCCCAGGTTTGAGCTATTCTCCCACCTCAGCCTTCTGAGTAGCTGGGACTACAGGCTCGGTTCACCACACCCAGCTAATTTTTCTATTTTTAGTACAGACAGGGTTTCACCATGTAGGCCAGGCTAGTCTCGAACTCCTGAACTTGGGTGATTGCCTGCCTCAGCCTCCCAAAGTGTTTGATAATTTATTAATGTACAACCGTTTGTCTAGTTATGTATAATAAATTGTTTCAAGATAAAGTTATAGTGGTCAACATCTCAATAGAATTGAAGCTCCATGTAGTCTATTCTGTAAATCATAACCAATTAAGAAAAAAAAGTAGTTAGCAAGGGAAAAGCAGGCAATATAGTATTAAGCACATAACTATTTACACACCTTTCAGTCCCGGCCCATCCCTACACAGTACTATATTTTTAAATGAATAGATGAGCTCTGGAAATTCAGAAGAAAATATTAGATCTTGGTTGGCATGGTTACTTCTGGGATAGAAAGCTGTGTACCTAATGGACAGTGATTTTTTTATTTATTTTCTTTTTTTTTACATTCCCCTCTAAACATATGTGTGTGTTTATTATGTGTGTGCATGTGTTTAACAAGGCATAAGCATTCATTATTTGAAAAATAATTAGAAAAATTACAATTGGGCCGGGGACAGTGGCTCACACCTCTAATCCCAGCACTTTGGGAGGTCGAGGCTGGCAAATCACTTAGGGCCAGGAGTTAGAGACAAGCTCGGCCCATATGGTGAAACCCTGTCTCTACGAAAAATACAAAATGTAGCTAGGCATGGTGGCACACACCTGTAATCCCAGCTACTCAGGAGGCTGAAGAGAAAGAATTGCTTGAGCCCAGGAGGCAGAGGTTGCAGCCAAGATGGTGCCACTGTACTCCTGCACTCCAGCCTGGGTGATAGAGCTAGACTCTGTCTCAGGAAAAAAAAAAAAAAAAAAAAAGAAAGAAAAATTATGACTGTGTATTTTTATGTATTGTCTATACTTTTCTGTGGAATGGCAGAAAATACGACTTATTTGGTATTTGTGTATAAGATGGATTATTAAAAATAAGCACAAATTAATTTAACTATATCAGTAGAAATGTCATTTTGTTATATTAAATATGCATTTTTAAATATGTCAAGCAATTACAGAAATGAATATATGTTAAAAATTGAAATAAAAAAATTACATCAAAATATCATAGAGCTCCAAATGTTCTTTTTAACTTGGTAGTATATAAAGTGCAATGTTTAAATGTAATAAAAATTAATTTGGCATCTATTATTCTAATCTTCAAATGATTTAGCTTGCTGTCTTAACAACAGAGTTAAACAACTATATAATTACTGATTATCATGGAAACATAGCCTTAATTAAAAATAAAATTGACTTGTGTCGGTGTAAGAATCAGTAAATCCGTAGTATTTAATAAAGACAAAACACAAAGGCAACTCATTCTGGCTGAAATATGTCCCTGGTGGAATAACTTAACAGCACTTAAAATTTACTAGTCACTGTGCTTTCCCCTATAAAAAATATTAATTAGTTGGTTAAAGAGCAAATTACACAAAATTAGAATCAAATATTCTATGCAATAGAATAAATCGATAGAACTGATAAGAATAGAATAGCTGTTTTTGAAACATGCAATGACAGTGATAAATTTTTGGAAAGTTTATTTACCAAATAAATAAATATATTGATAAGAGCATGTGTTGCAAATGCAGATATGTAAAACATAGCGTAACATTACGAACTATATAATATGCATATTGTATGTTCTAACAAATTTGAAATTTTTGAGGAAATATGCAGACATACAATATACACACACTCATTTGTACACCATGTGAATCATATGCAGGAATTAGTATTTATAAGAACATTATTTATATTAAAAATCATTAATATAATCATAGAAATAAGCTAAACATAGTATGATACATACATAAATGAGAATAATAAAAAGGCTTTAGAGTAATGCTGTAGAATAATTGAAATCACTTTCATAAATGTTCATATAGTTCAAAAAATATATTCATAATAGCTCCATTTGATTAAAAGATAGATATATAGTATATTTTAATATCTGAATAAATATATATAATAGTAATAACAATTACAAGGTTTGATGTTGGTTATAAATATTGTATAAATCTTTTAAAAATATTTTATTGTATAGATTAAATAATAACAAATATATTTAAAAATTAGATGCTTTTTTTTTGCTCTTGTAGACTATACCTTTAATTCTGTCACAAATTATTTACCTGCCTGTTAATTGGCTTGACAGCCAGTTGTTACTTTAAATGGCACGCCTCTTGTGAAAATGCTTATCCTCTCTGAATTATCTAATCATTAGTTCCCTAACAATTTACTAATAATGCTGAAATGGATACTTTAAGCATATGCTCACTCATTTTATTCATGTAATTGTAACTGACTGAAATAAATTAAATTATTCACAGAATGTCTTCTCACCACTTCCAACTGTTTTGTTTTGTCTTAATGACTAGGAGCTTGGATATTTGCATTTGTACAATGTAAAAGCAAATGAATGACAAGCAAAACATTTCAATAAAGCTAATTTATTTACCCTGTAAATAGTAAAAACAAACCATAGGTGAAAAATATTTACTGTTTTTTGTTCTCCCATTATGCCACCTTTACTCAGTTTCCTGAATCATATGCTATACGATTCATTGATTTAATATTCAGCAAATATGTATTTCCAATGTATAAAATAAGTCAGAAACTGTGATAACTACTGCAAACAAAAAAATAAATTGCATATATTTCCCTATACTCAATGAGAAATAAGAATATTTATACTGTTTGGAAGAAAAGCCATTATATTTAGCTTGTCAGAAACTTTATAAGTGTATGCTTGGAAATGATGAAGAAAGGTGAAAAAAGCAAGAACGCTTGTGATCCAAAGGGAATGGAAAATGTGTAACCTAGACCCATAAAATAGAATTGCACAGTACGTATGAAAAAGAGTAATTTCTAAGAAATGTGGTTGAAAAACATATCAGGAGTTATGTCATGGATAAATTTTCTTTTAGGCAAGCATAACTAAATATACCTAAACAATGACGAGATACTGAAGTGAAATTTGTGTGGGAAAATAAAAATTCTATTTGCAATTAAAAAAAGAATTTTGGAACATGGAAGGCATAAGTTATATAGATGCCTCAGAGTTGTACACCCAAAATCTGGAGATATATATAGTAATTGTAATATTTAATCTTAGCTCAAAGAAAATAAATACACAAGGGTGTTGAAAACCACTGACATTGCAAATGCAGGATGTGCAGTAAGATGCCTTGAAACCACCAAATGGAAAAGATCAGTTTTGAAGTTACTAAAAGTTCTACTTTTCAGAGCATTGCAACTATTGGACCTGCTTTGCAGCTCCATGAGAAAGACCTATTTAGAGTGCATTTTTGTTATGTGTTTGAACTCAGAGCTCCTTTTGGGGAAAAGTCTTATCTCGACATTTGTTGGAAATAATCAGTGCCATTTATTTAACATTGCAGATGCTTTATATCTGGTGGTGTGATAGCTGGTGGCACAATCTAAAGACTGGCCAAAGCTTAAAAGGAATTTCAAAGAAGCCAGATGTTGACAGAGAGAGTTTTAAAAAGCTCTGACATTTTTCTGGTTATTCTAGAGAGCCACATTCCAATGCAGGGCTGTGTGCATGCCCAAGAACGACCTGAGTGGGCTCCAATTTCTCAGCTTTGGCCAATATTGAGACCCCTCACAAGCAAGAATTCAATGCTAAGGCAGACTTGTTATCTGAAAGGGGTTAAATGTATGTCCAAACTCGTACACAGAGTTCCTTGGTGAAGAGTGAAAGGCTTATTGGTTTAAGGCATTTAAGAAAAACTCTGGACACCATTAGCTGATCAGTTAGCTAACCAAGCAGTGGTTTCAGTGATTACAAATTACAGAGGAAACAAACTATAGAATCAGCCCAAGGAAGTCACACACACCCACACACATCCAAAGGTGTTACTACAACATCAGCTGCAGCACTACCACCACCAACAATAAAACAGCAATAACAAGCCCTGGAAGGAGTCGTCGTCTCATATCCAGAGCTGTCATTTTATATTAACTAAGTACCCACTTTTTACATGAAATACAAATTGTGAAAATAAATAGGGAAGTATGCTTCCAACATACAAAAAAATCCATAGAAATTGTTTCAGAAGGAACATAGATGCAACAACTAGATGGATATATTAAATCAGCCATTATCAATGAACTCAAAAAATAAAAAAAATTCTAAATAAATAAAAATATGGTAACAATATTTCATAGAATAGAAAATATCAAAAAAGAAAAAACACCTACAATTTTGAAGTTTAAGATTATAAGTGAAATACAAAAGTCATTAAAAGGGTACAAGAGCAAATTTGAGCTGACAAAAGAAAAATTAATGAAATTCAAAGTCAGTCAATTGAGACTATTCAGTCTAAGAAAGAGAAAAAAATTGGTGAAAAATAAACAGAACCTCAGAGATCTATAGAACCTCATCAGTTGTAACCATACACAAATAATGAAAATCTCAGGAGAGTGGGGAGAGAAAGGGGCAGAAAGTCTACCTGAAAAAGTAATGTCTGAAAACTTTGAAAATTTAATGAAAAACATTACAGACACCAAAAAAACACTCAACACATTTCGAATAAGAGTAAATAGAAGAGATCCACACCTAGACACATAATGTTCAAACTTTAGGAGAAGGAAACAAGAGCAAACCAAATACTTTTTTACAAGAAACATGTAGTCCAGAAGGAAGTGGAGTACCGTATTTAACATAGTGGGGAAAAAAAAGGACTGCCAACAACAAAAATTATATCTAGAAATTACGCTTCAAAAATGAAGGAGAAATTCAGATATTTTGAGATACACAAAAGCTGAGATATTCTGTGACATCAACCTGCTCTTCAAGAAGTAATAAAAGCTGTTTAGGCTGAAATAAAGGAATAATAAATAATAACTCAAATCTGCACTCTAAGCACTTATAACCACATGGCTCAATATAAAATAAAACACAAAGGTATTTTAGATACTGTTTTCTTCTATATTATTCAAATGGAAACTTTATAAAGTTGTAATTTAAAACCATATTGACTAACTTACTATGTATAAAATTTTAATTATTATAAAAATTTTTTCATACAAAAGATGAGTGAGAAATGTGCTATATTAAAACAAAATATGTTTATACTATTAAGTTAATATTATTCTAATTTATATTTCTTTAAGTTATGATGTTAATTTTAATCTCTATTGAAGCCACAAAGAAAATCTTTCAAAAAGTTTAATAAATAAGCAACAAGCGAATGGAAAGGACGCAGTATAAATATCTAACAAAAAATAAGGCAGTAATGAAGAAAAAGAGGAGGAAATACATGAGACACATAGAAAACAAATCCATTAGCACATAAAAAAGTTAATTCATCACAATCAAGTAGGCTTTATTCCTCTTTATTTCTTGGATACAAGATTGGTTTAACATACACAAATCAATAAGTGTGATTCACCACATAAACAGAATTAATGCAGAAACTGTATGATTATCTCAATAGATGCAGAAAAAAACTTTTAATAATACTCAACATCTCTTCATAATAAAAAAAACTCTCAACAGACTAGGTAGCAAAGGAATATACCTCATAATGTTAAGATCCATCTATAACAAACCCACAGCCAACATTATACTGAATGAGCAAAAGCTGGAATAATTTTCTTTGGTAACTGCAACAAAACAAAGAGGCCCACTCTCATTACTCCTATTCAACATAATACTGAGTGTCCTAGCCAGAGTAATCAGGTAAGAGAAAGAAATAAAATACATTCAAATAGGAGAAGAAGAAAAACTTTCCCTCTCCATTCACAATATAATCCTATATTTTGAAAACCCTAAAGAAAGATCCAAAAGGCTACCAGAACTGATAAATGAATTTAGCAAGGCTTCGGGATACAAAATAAATATACAAAAATCAGTACTGTTTCTACACACCAATACCATCCAGGGTGAGTTCAAATCAAGAACACAATCACATTTACAATAGCCACAAATATAATGAATTACCCGGGAATACATCTAACTAAGTAGGTAAAATATCTCTACAAAGAGAACTATAAAAGACCACTGAAAGAAATGAGAGACAACAATGATAAATGGAAAAATATTTCATGTTCATGAATTTGAAGAGTCAATGTCATCAAATGGCTCAATGCAATTTACAGATTCAATACTATTCCTGTGAAACAACCCACATCATTCTTCATAGAATTAAAAAAAAAAAAACTATGCTAAAATTCACATTAAACCAAAAAAGAACTCAAATAAACAAAGCAATCTTAAGCAAAAAGAACAAAGCTGAAGACATCACACTACCTGACTTCAAACTAAACTTTAAGGTTCAGTAGCCAAAACACTGTGGCACTGGGACAAAAACAGACACATAGAGCAATGAAAGAGAACAGAAAACCCAGAAATAAAGGCACACACCAAGAAATAATCTAATCTCTGACGAGGCTGACAAAAACAATGGGGAAAAGACATCATCCCAAAAAAACATTAACAAAGCAGACATGGTTGCAGAGAGGACGATTATGTACAGGCTCAGCAATATAGACTTCAAGTTAACAAGGCTGTCCTGGCTAAAGCCACTGCTGAATGCCCAATCTGCCAGCAGCAGAGACCAATTCTGAGCCCTCTCATATGGCACCATTTTTGGGGTGATCAGCCAGTTACCTGGTGACAGGGTGATTATATCGAACCACTTCAATCAGGGAAGGCACAGCTATTTATTTTTACTGGAATAGACATTTACTCAGGATATGAATTTGCTTTTCATGCTTTCAATATCTCCACCAAAACAAACATTCATGTACTAAAAAATGAGTACACAGTAAGCTAAATCAGCATTAAAATAAAAATTATTTTACGTTAAAGAATACAAATAAATGCACTAGCTTTCAATTGTAGAACAGTGCTTACCTAGTGAATCACAGTGAATCAGTTGTGACTAGTGTCTACTCTACATCACCATTTAAAATTAAATATTGATTGTATAAAATTTATAACACAATTTTAATGGGAAGATATAGCAGGGCTCCATGCATATGTTTCAGAATTGCTGTGAAATGAGAAATAAATCTTTATACCCAAACTACAAATAATTGAAAATTGCCTAATACTGAGAGATAAAGAAGTATTAGGTTGGTGTAAAAGTAATTGTGGTTTTTGAAATTATATTTAACAGTAAAAATCGTAATTGTGTTTGCACCAACCTAGAAATTATAAACCTATTATTTAGGGACAAATGGTTAATGCCAAATTGAACAATGAACATAATCGAAAGTGTCTGCCTCTGGGGCACACAGAACACATGACTGAAAGGAAGCAGAGGACTACTTTTCTCCAAGTAAGTTATGAAGAACTATTTGTTTTTACTCATTTTACAGGCATAACTTTGATAAAAATAAAGATAAATTAATAATAAACTAAAAATACCAGATTCAATGCATATTAAGTCTAATATTGAGGAAACAGCCACAATTTTGTATGCTTCTTAATCTTTGAAATAGCTTATAGTTTTATAAATACAGGTAGGATTATAAAGTGAGCAAATCTCCTTAGTATGCCCAAAGCTTTTCTTATGTGTAATTGGAAACACTTGAAGAGATGAGCTTCTTTGTGAAATAAAGGAAAACTTTATATTTCCTTTTTTTTTGAAATTTATAATAGCAAAGACCATTTGGCCTTTAAATGCAATATTAAGAATTTATTTCTAAGCTACTAACTTATTTTCTCAGAGTGTATATATAACTTCTTCTAACATGGGATGCCATATTGGAACAATAATTACATCTTATGCTTTTTTCTGTTTATTACTACATGAATATGTCAACATATGTAATTACTACATGTATATGTTTAACATAAAAAATATGGCCAGATTGAGAAAATGTACTATTTTGCAGCTGGGATCAAATGCTTTTCGTTTGTGTTATGAATATATTTTTATGTATGATGAACTCAATTTACTTTTTTTCCCAACCTTATCAGTAGACATATAATCATATTGTTTGTTAGTTCTTATTTATTTTCCACACATCTTAAATAACTATGAACACTGAATATAAATTATTAAAATATATGATCCTATTCAGTGGCTCCAAAATAATTATAAGCAAACATCTAAATCTACTTTTGCAGCATTTTGATGTCCGTATCAGTTGGTAGCCTAGTCTCAGCTTGACACCACAAAGATTATTTTTGTTTAGAACTTTTTAATTCTTGCCAAAAACCCATCAAGACAGATTTTAAAAGTGCCCTATGGTTTTTTCTTAAATTTAGTTGCTACAATTAAGATACAATAAAGCTCTCATGGGGTGTGTATTGCACTCCTGTGTGGGTACACTGAAAACAATTCATTTATACTTTACCTATTTTGCAAAGTCGGTTGGAAATATTTTATTATACTTCTTTGCATAATTCGCTCATCAATAAAAAAGAAAAAGATGCATCATTTGTCTTCTCTTTTTAAAAGGGAAAAAATCAATTGTAAAACAAAACAAAACGTAGAGCAGGCTACACTAACATTAAGCCAAGATCTTTAATCTCAATATCAATATTCATTAAAGTTTTATATTACCTACCTACACTCTAATTACTCAAGTATATCATATGTAACCTCTCTTTCTTCCCAACTGTCAGCAAATATGGTGCCATCTTCCCTTAATAAAGACAATGGAAATCCTATAAGTCAATGTATCTCTGCCAAAAAATAAAGCAAAATAAAATAAAAAGGCCAATTGACTTTAAAAAGCTTTATTTAAAAGCTGCTGAATGAGGACATAGCCCCCACGATTTCTGCTTTTCCTGTGCCACATTGTTGAATTGATTATAATGTCCTTGGCGATAGAGGTCACGTTAATTTTATCACATCCAAGGATTCTAGGTGAAATATGTGGCACATGTGCAGGCTGCATGCTCGTTTGTCACATTATTACTTGCTGTCACTTTTGAAGGTAGGTGTCTTTTTGAAGAATGTGCCACAGCTAGAGGGTCATGTTATTTGCATAAAGCTCTGAAAGCTGTCTTTCCAGAGAGAATGAGTGGGATGTTGCTTCATTTTCTGTTTACGGAAAGCATAGAGGGGACAGCTGTCAGAAGCTGATGCTGTCTCTCTTGTACATAGATATCTGTTTAAAAAAATGCTTAAGAACATATTAATGGATTGTAACTAAAAGTTCCATTTACTGGCCTGAATGTTAATTTTACCACTCAGAATAAAGTAATTCTGGTCTGCTGTCAGCAGATATTTTTGCTTTATTTGCTTTATAAATGTCAAAAGATGCCTATAAATTGAAATGATTTACGGAAGCTTCCATTGCTTTTGGTTGATAACTAAATAATTTCCTTCCTTCACAAAATTAGAGGAAGAAGGATATAGCTGTATTTTTGAGGCTACTACAAATAATTTCACTGAAGATCTTATGAAGGTTTTAGAAATAATGCAAAGTTAAATATCATTATTAGGGCCAAAAATTATATTATTATAAAATACCAATGTGCTTTGAAAACCTGAATTTATAAAAACATATGAATAGGAACTTATTTTAAATAAAATTATGCATCTAAAAACAAAATAATTTGATAGATGCATAAATATACTTTTCTTGAAATAATGTATAAAGTTAATAATTTTAAATAAAAGTCATGATTTTCAAAATTATGTCACAGCAAAATGACTCAAACCTACAATGACAAATAAAAAAGCTCCTTCTTGTATGCAATGAGGGTATTTAATATAATTTAAGAAAAGTATATGCTTTGATATATAATTATATACACGTATTTATGCTCAGATTCTATTGGTTAAAAACAAGGTGGAAATATACTTAATAAAAATATAATATAAACTATATCTTACTACTAATTTGTTACTCAGCTTCTTGTTTATTTTGGTGAATTAAAGATAGCTCTAACTTCCTTTAAATACACATCAAGAAGTGGAAAGTTGATCTCATAAAAATAAAGAATAAAATGGTGATCAGAGGCTGGAGCTTTTAGGGAGAGGGGTATGGGTGATATTGGCCAAAGCACATATATTTATAGTGAGATAGTTAGAATAAGTTCAAGAGATACATTGTACAGTGTGGTGACTATAGTTAAAAACAATATGTTGTATTTTTGAAAAATACAAAAAGAGTGGATGTTAAGTGTTCTCATCACAAAAGTAATAACTATGTGAGATCATACATTTGTTAATTAGCTAGATTTAACCATCCCACAAAGCATACATACTTCAAAACTTCATGTTGTACACAGTAAATACATAAAATTATGTCAATTAAGACAGAGAGATGGGTCTTTCACCTTGCTATGAATCTAGACAAAGACTGGGACTACTTTTACTAATACCAAGTGGCAGAAGTGATCCTGCTACAGCTTCCAGGCCCAGACAAGGGGATCTTCAGGTTCTTCTTTCATGGAACACTTCTTCTTGAAAGTCTGAAAGGCTGTGTAATAAGTTCTATTCTGCTGCTCGTAAGATCGCATAGAAAAATTCTGCAAATAATTGACAGAGAAAGCAGCTCAACTGATCCCAGCCTCCAGGTATCCATACCAATGTGGGAGACATATGAGTAAAGCCTCTTTGGAACTTCCGGCCTAGCCAAGCTACCAGCTAAAAACGACCAGGTCCCTTCAGTAAAGCATGTGGAGCAGGTAAAGCAGAAGAATTGCCTGCCAAACTTTGCCTGGATCCCTCCTGGTCCACAAATCAGGAGCATCATAAAAGTTGTTTTTTTTAAGACACAAATTTTGGGATGATGTGTTAGCAGCAACATGTAACTATAATAATCATGTGTGTGTGTCTGTATGTGTACTTGTGTATGTATGTTTTAAATCAGAAGTATTGATAATTCTAAAGCAGTCTTTAAGAGCAACTTATCTTTATAAGACTTGAAATGACTGTAACAAACATATTATTCCACATAATTTCCACATCCCCAGTCAGGCAAATTGAGTGTTCTACAGGGAGTTAGTTAGAAAATGTATAGGTATGTTGTGTTTCATAGCTGAGTATTTATTAAATAATTGCTTCATGAAATTTTTGTCAATCAACAACATATGTGCAAAAATGAGTTTACCTAATTGTATTGAGTTACCCTTTTTCATTGGTTGGTTGTATGTGTCAATAATAGCTTGATTATTTGAATAATTGTTTAATGATATGAAGAGATAGGACATAGAGAAACTGTATCAATTAGAACTTTCAACTATATTGAATGATAGAAACCATAATTTTTGGCTTATATTCTAAATCATATATAAATATATTTTACTAAAATATATAAATGTAGTAGAATATTTACTGAAACTGATCTTTATGCATGCTACCCAATGAGAAACTTCTATCTAAATTGCTAATTACTCCTTTTTCTGGTGGAGGCCATACGCAGTTGCTCTACAGCATGGCCTTCAGAGACAGCTGACTTGGTTAAAAATTATCTTCTCAATTCTTAACTAAGTTAAACAGTAAGGCATAGCCCAGTCATTTTGCTCTTGTTAGCCACAGTAATACGTACATATATATATGAATAAAAATAGTTTCTACCTGAAGTCTTGTGCAGATTAAATGTTATAATTCACATAATTTGCATTAAATCTGGCAGCTAAATTAGATATTAATTTACATATTACTAATAGTATTAATTTAAAAGCATCTATTTCCTATTTTTATATATGTATATAAATATTTCTTTTTTTTCCTTGCCAAAGACCAGTTGTCTTCTTACCTTTCATAAGCAGATGTTGAAACCTTTACATAGAGGAAAAGAGTCTTCTTGTAAAATAAAAATGACATCCTAACCTATTTTCTTTGGATATTTAAAAGACAATTAGCCCGCTGGGATGAAAGAAAACCAGAGGTGCTAAGAGGGTCCTTATCATCGAGGATGGTGTACAACAACGGTCCCCAACCATTTTGGCATCATGGACAGGCTTCCTGGAAGACAATTTTTTCACGAGTCTGGGGGCAATGTTTTGGAATGAAACTTCCTCCTCAGACTGAGGCAGGAAAACAGGGTCTGGAGGCAAGAAACAGAAGGCCAACTCACACGTCAGCTATCACAGGAAATGTCCTCTCCAGAGGGCGTACACCAATTAACTAATGGAAACCTCTAGAGGGTATTTAAACCCCCACAAATATGGTAAAGGGGATCTTGAGCCCATATACTCGGGCCCACTCCCACCCTGTGGAATATACTTTCATTTTCAATAAATATCTATTTTTGTTGCTTCATTATTTCCTTTCTTTCTTTGTGCATTTTGTCCAGTTCTTTGTTCAAGATGCCGAGAACCTGGACACCCTCCATCGGTAACAAGATCACCAGGCATTAGTTAGATTATCATAAGGGGTGCGCAACCTAGATCCCTCACATGTCCAGTTCACATAGGGTTGACGCACCTATGAGAATCTAATGCGACGAAGGTCTGACAAGAGCTGGAGCTCAGGCAGTAATACTCGCTTGCCCGCCCTCGCCTCCTGCTGTGCGGCCCAGTTCCTGACAGGCCAAGGACTGGTATGTGTCTGTTGTCCCTAGGTTGAGGACCCCTGGTGTAGCATATGCACAGGTCACTCAGGCTTAATATCTAGAATTGGATGGTGCCAGAGAAGAACTAGTTCTGTGTAGAGGTAGCCACTTGTTTCCTGGTACAGCTTTCTTCTACTGGCAAAATTATATATTTTGGCTGCATCTTAAATCTGCAACAGAAAAAAATTGGTTAAAAATTTCTCCCACACAGCCCCTCTCCACACACACACACATGCAGACACACACATTTTAATCTACCAAGGCATAACAACTAACTTTGCTAAGAAACAAGCTCTTTCATTTTCAGAACTTTGGATTTTATGTTTAGAATGCCCTTTTCCCTTCTCCTGATTGATAAACTGCTAGTCATTTTTCACGAGTCATATAACTCATCCCGTTAGTGTTTCTACTTTGTGCTGCCTTGAGCATACTATAAAACTTTCCTGGGGTCAATGTCTGAGAACAATGTTTTACATATCATTTAAGGTAAAAATAAGTCACTAATTGGTCTGGGGTGAACTTCCATTATAAATGATGACAAAGCAAAGATTTAGGCAGTTGGCATTTTGATGTTGTGGAACAGAAAATTCCTGTCAAATTGATTCTATTTACCATTTTTCAATAAAATATCTGCTTAAAGGACTTTGGGTTGTGTTTTGGTTTTCAGAGCTTTATTGATAGGGAATGGAAAGAGAAGAATTTTGAAAATAGAGAAAATGTGTAATGCAGTAATTTGAATAATGCCATTTTTAGACAGCCAGGTTGGTGTGGAGTGTTTGTTTGAGATCTGTGTCCATAATTTTAAAAGTAGATTCATCAGATTTGTCTTTTTTTTTTTTTCCAATGAATTTCAGCTACAGAGAGTTGGGCTAACTAGTGTTGGGGCTTTGCCAAGTGAGTGGGACGGAGAGGTAGAAAAATGTGATTACTCTAGGTGTATTTCCAAGAGAGTATTTTTTTTTTTTTGAGATGGAGTCTCGCTCTATCACCCAGGCTGAGTGCAGTGGCATGATCTTGGCTCACTGCAACCTCTGTCTCCCGGGTTCAAGCGATTCTTACAACTAAGCCTCCCAAGTAGCTGGGATTACAGGAGCACCCCACCACGCCCAGCTAATTTTTTGTATTTTAATAGGGGTGGAGTTTCACCATGTTGGTCAGGATGATCTCGAACTCCTGACCTCAGGTGATCTGCCCACCATGGCCTCCCAAAGCGCTGGGATTACAGACGCAAGCCAATGCTTCCGGCCCAAGAGCGTGATCTTAATGAAAGATAATTGATTCAATCTTAAGTAAAGAGAAGTCAGAATATGAAGCAGTTTATTGATGGTTTAGTAAGTGGTGGGGGTCAAAAAAGTAAAAAGGCTAAATGACATGGGATATTTGTAGGCGTGAAAATAATACAATAGACAACCTGGAAGGATAGGCGTCTATGGTCATAAAACAGGTTGCTCAGAAGAATATGACTGTGAAATCGAGTTGAAATGGAATAGGCTGACCTCTAAAGTCAAAAGGTTACATGTGTGTGAGACCAAAATGTGAAATGGAGGGTATGTGTTCCTTCAGAAATAGTAGTGGTAGAAAAGTGCCAGTTAATAAAGACATCAAAACTGAGGAGGAAATGTTGGGAGATCATCAAAGACCCAATTCAAGGGTTAGAGGTAGGAAATCTCATGATATAAACCACAAAGGAGATGTGCTCCCAAAAGAATGTTTAGGATGAGTAATTTGGAAATGGCAATGAAAGCAAGGAAGATACATACCTCACCTGCAAGCTCTGGAGTATATGATTCAAAGAGAGAAAAAAAATATTCTCCAGTTGAGAGTGTTACAGGATAAATAAATCATCAGATCTTGAGTCTCCACTAGAAACACACAGAGGAATCATGAAGGATATAAGAATTTAAAAATAAAAACATTTTATTGTTAGAAAATAAACCATTAATTCTAGAATGTAGTGTAGGGCAAAGGAAGTTGGGAAACTGGGTCAGATTAAACAATATGAAACAGCAGAGTAATGAGACTCTGGACAAAAATGATTGAGAGCTTGATCTTCTGGGAGTAATTAAGATAATCAAAAAATTAGGTTTGGATAAATTCACTCTTAAGATATTTGGCAAGTGAGGTGGGAGAGTAGGACAGAAACTGATTTCTCCTCTACTTTATGGTAGTGTGATGGCCAAGAAGTACACAAAGCTTCTTCTGTGGAGTCTTATCTTGCTTCTGTGAAGTTTCTCTAGGCTGAAGGTGTTGTAGTATCAGGGAGATGTCTTTCTCCTGGAACAAGAGAATGCTTTACTGTGAAATTGTACCATAATGGTTGAAGTCATGGTGCATAATTGCAGTGACCTCCATCTTTATAATGTTATTTCCTCTGTGTCCTTTGGATGGTGGTGGGATGAATATGAAAAACATAAGTAATTTTAATCAGATATACAGTAACCTGCAAAAAATAAGCAAATATATAAGAATTAAGTATCTTTACGTTTAACCGTTGATCTTCCAAAAATAAAGCCCTCTATTTGGTAGATAAAGACTTAAAATATTTTCATTAAAAAATCCATGATATTTAACTGTTTTCAAATTATATGTTTTTGCTTTTGTAATACTCAAAGCACTGCTTTGATGAGTTGCATGTTAGTTTTAGAAAATGATTTTGTTTTTACTGATCGATGTTTTCTGATCGATTTTAAAAGCCCACAAGAATACATTGCAAAGTAATAAAAAACTATATATATATGTGTATGTATGTATGTGTATATATATGCATGTGTGTGAATGAGTGTGTACATATACACACTGCTGACATATGTAACACGTAGGTGATTGCATGATACAGCATAAGCATTGTGGCAGTTCTTTGCTGTTATTAGATTTGTTGCTGCCTTTATTATTATAATATACTATATTGACTTCTAAATGTTTAATAGGAGTTATATGAATACTGCTCATTTTTTAAAAGTGTTAATTCAAAGCAAGTTAGGAAAAAATAACTTTGAAATGCAAGATATATCTATAGCACACTGGGTTTCTAATTTATTAGAAACCAAATATTAGTACATGTCTATTTAAATTGATGCATAATACTGGTATAAAGCTCTCCATATAAAATTACACATACTCATTTCTTGATTAGAAAATTGTTTTTGTGGCTGGGCATGGTGGCAAATGCCTGTAGTACCAGCACTTTGGGAAGCCGAGGTTGGCGGATCTCTTTGAGCCCAGGAATTTGAGATCAGCTTGGGCACATGGCAAAACCCCATCTCTACAAAAAAATACAAAAATTAGCCAGGTGTGGTGGTACATGCTTATAGTCCCAGCTAGTTGGGAGACTGAGGTGGGAGGATCACTTGACCTCTAGAAATCAAGTGATCCTCCCACCTCAGCCTCCAGAGATGGCACCACTGCACTCTAGCTTGAGTTACAGAGTGAAAGACCTTAGCAAAAAAAGAAAAGAAAAGAAAAATATATTTTTCCAATTACAAAATTAGATTTTAAAATATTTAATTTAAATTGTTTAGGTTACTAAATAGAGCTTAAGTAAAAAAACTAAGTGAAGAAAGTTAGATAAATGATAACAAGTTACAGTTTTTTTTTTCTCAAAGGCAAATAGCACTACTCCATAGTAGTCTGTTGTTTGAGAGTAAAAGACTGTAATATGGATGCAGTACTTTGTAAATAAATATGTTAGTCTGTACTCTTGAGTTGCCTGCACCAGGCTCCAGTAAAGTTTATGGTCTTCTAGGAAATAGCAGATTAGTTCAGTGACATGTAGGGCAGTGTAGACAATTGAAAGCAGTTGAGCAGAAGGCATGCTATAACATGATAATAATAAAATTTACTTAATTAGAATATATGAACACTGATGTGCTTGACCAAAAGGTCAAATAGCCGACTGTGTGGCTTCAAACTGACCACCTGGCAAATTAAAGCCTGCCTTTCAGATGCAGATTTCTGCAGAAGAGAAGTTTCATATTGGCAAACATTTTGAAAGTGGGCAAGGAAGGTGTCATAATTAGGGGAATTCTCTAGAAACTGCTTTTGCATTATATTTGACTTGAGTTATGAAAAATTCAATTGCTTATATCAGAGAACAAAGAGACTAATGATGAAGATATTACAATGAGGCTGTACTATATCCTTCCCTTTCCCTGTAGGTAAAACAGAAAAAGAAAAAAAAAAAAGCCCTTGCAATATTACTAATATGGAAAAAGTGAGGTAATGTATTTTTGTTCTTTTTTTCTCTGTTCAATTTTCAAGATATCGCAATTTATAGTTATTATTCCCTCACATCTCTGACCCTATACTCAGCAGGTTCTCAATATACGTTCCAGCTTCCTTCATTCCAATATTTCAAAGCTTGGGGCAACTTAAAACAATAAAATAAAATAATTCTCCCCCTCAACCACCAAAAAAAATACATTAAATTAGGCTTCATACCAGGTTGATAATTTTAACAAACTTCTGATAATTTGAAATGAGCAAAAGAAAAAATTTGCCATCTCAGCTGGAAAAAGGAAACCTGACAGAAATAAAGAAAGGAAACATTTCCTTGCCCAAAATGATTAAAGGGGAGATTTCCATGAAATGTTAGCACTTTCTATGCTTTCCTTTAGATATTTTCATAAAGATGTGTATACATCTCATCATATTCACCATGTATGTGCAAAGAGAAAGAGGTATCGGTGATTCACTGATATTTTTAAGCCATATATACAGCAAAACCTGTCACCATTTATGTTTATCCACTGTTGACCTTGAAGTGGCACTTTGTGACAAAACTTTCTAACATTTGAGTGCTACTTTATTTAAAAATGTAGATATAATATTCCTCTAGGCAGAAGATTGTCTATACTGTTTAATGGAAGGCATCATTTCAGTGTTTGCATTTTAAAAGGTTGGGAATAATGTGGGGAAGAAGTCCAATGGGATTATTTTTTCAATGTAGTCATATAACATGTTAAACAATAAACATACTGAATGTAAACATGTAGAACTAATTTGTGCATAAAATATTAAAATCAGCGCAAATCAATCCTTCAGCATTTAAAAATATTAAATTATAAATTAAAGAACTTAAGTTCCAAATAGCTTTTAAAGTTGTAGCTTATATATGGAAAGGAATCCCTAATGAGGTTTGTGAAGAATTTTTATCTTTTTTATTTCAATTTCTACTAACATTGCACTTAAAATTTATTGAAATTAATTTAAATAATCTGTAAATATTTAATGCAAAAACATAATTATAATTTTTTGTACAATTATTTGTGGTACCATAGTGGAATTTATAATGCTCAAAAATATATTTCAAGAAAGCTTGAGTATTTTCTACTGTAAGCAACAATAGAGTATAAATATGTGCTTCATAATTTCTTAGTCTAAATACTGGGTTACATAATTACTGGAATAAAATCTACTTTTTTTTTTTCTATTTACTAATTTGTAACTAAAAAAGTGACCTTTTTTAGTTGATAATTTGGAGGAATGTTAGCATTTGTTCTATATATTAATATTCACAATACTATATTTTAACTAATATATTCACACTTGTCCACAGTTATTTTACAACTAGTAAATATTTGTCATATTGATATTATATATATTTTAAATATGAAAATATGCTAATTAAAATTAAATATTTTCAATTACAGTAATAGTTTGTAGCAGTATCAAGAATAAATAAAATGTAACTACCTAAGTCATGAATATTTCTATAAATAAAATGTCTATGGTAAACAAAGTGTTTAAACTGGCAATTTTGTTTTCAAAAATTTTTAATGCCTTGAATTTGTTCAGAAAGGATTCATTTTTCTGCTGGCAATTTGTCTTAGCATTATACACTATTAATTGAAAGAACACTTTAGATACCGTGAGCCTAGACAATAGACTCCTTGTTATATTTTACTTTCCAAAAAATCAGGTAAAAAGAAAAGATAAATGGAATGACATACTTTTGGGAAATAAATTTTTTGATGTCAGATACAAATACGAATGCCAAGTGTATTTGGAAACTGGGCATAATTTATATAACAAGTGAATTATATTAAGACTTATTAATTGAGTTCTGTGTTAGAGTCCTAAAATTTGTAAAAGTAGTTACTTGTATAGCACAGTATTACTATAAAGAGGCTCTGAACACAAGCCTGGGTACCATAAAAGTGTTTTTAAAAATTGCCCTTTCACTAACTAGTCTTGGGATATTGGGAAATTTAGTAGGCTTTCCTAGTCCTTATTTTTGCTCTTCTGGATAATACGGAGATTACTGCAAAGATTATGAGACACAATCAAGTTTTAAAATTCTTGTTTAATTTTATGTGAGCAATAACTACTTCTATTGCTTCCAAGGGAAATAATCACTAAAAATATTCTAAAATGTTGCCAAGTATCAGTGTTTCCAAGAGTCTAATACTTGGCACCTTTCATCTTGTTTTGGCATTATACTAGAAAGCTTAGGTCATCATACATTTTGGCAAAATAAATATTGACTACAGTTATCAATTTCACCCCTGTGGTTCAGGTTCACAATATCAAAAGAGTCCTTTCACTTAACATTGTACAATGCTAAAACAATTTGTCGGAAGAAAATTGAATGAAGCCTCTCTGTGGAATAGCCATGTAAAATTTTCTGAGCTGCGATTTACACAGATACGAATGCAAACACATACAGGAACAACCACATCATTTTATAACCAAAACATAGATTAGAGTGTTGTTGGATCCTATAAAATATGATGCAAAATTAAAACTATGAACATCGGAATACTGTTTTAAATACTTTTGTCTAGGTAGCTTTGAATTTTTTTTCACATCACTGAGTTTTTGGTCCCTCATTTGTAAAGAATACAGGTAAAACTTAATAGATTTTGATAGTGCATACAATGTCCTGTTTCTATAATTGTTGTATTTTTGTCTGTTTGCTAATCTTATTTTCTTTTATATCCATATGCAGACTCATTCATGTGTGTGTGTGTGTGTGTGTGTGTGTGTATGTAAAAACAAAGAGGCAGAGAGAGATACAGAAGATAGTTTTCTCTTTAAATGGTAGGGTATCCACAGAAACTCATACACGTAAAATTCCTGTTCTTACTTTGGACACTTCTGTGATATATATCACTAGAGATACTTGTATATCTATAAAATAATTATTATGGAGTTTGTAAATATCCATTTATATTTATACAAAATTATTTATCTAAACTTTTGTGTTTTATATAAACACAAAACATTTAAAACATTGTTTGACCCAGTCAACAATGTTTTACATGATATATTCATGTTGTAGTATGTAACATTGATGAAACACAAAATAAAATATAAAAAACAAACAGAAAAACCTACAAGATTTACATCACAAGCAGAATACTTTAAAAAGTCAAATGTGTATTAGCTCCTGAGGGAAGCCTCCAAAAAATCCATAAAAGATTATAGTCTCTAGCGGTAAATGCAATTAAATTAGAAATAAATAATCAAATGATTATTTTAAAAACATGTATCTCAAAAGTAAAAATATAGTATGAAAATCATTTGTGCTAAATGAAATACAAAGAAATTACAAAATAATTAAAATGTAAAAGCAACTAAAACACTACAAAAAGAACCTGAGTGACACAATGTCACCTATTTAAGCGTGTATTAAAAACTAAGAACAAATATTAAAGATGACTTCGTTAACTCATCTTGAGCTCAAGAAGCTTGAGTAACAGAATAAAATCAAATAAGTAAGATAAAATAAAATGATAAAAATAGGAACAAAAATATTTAAAGGAAGAAATAACATGTAGGATAGATGAATAAAACAAAAATCAGATGATTGGAAAATGATTAATAAATGTCTACATGAACCTTAGAACTTTAGAATAGTTGTGAAAATAGTTGACAGTTAATAATTTATGTACAAATATGATTTAGAAAGAAGAGCAAATTAGAGATTAAACTGTAATATAATAAATGGCAATTGCATTGACTCAGGCTGTGTTACTTGGCTACTGTTTAAAATTAAAGGTAAAGATAACATATGCAAATTAGATGTAGGTACTATTAAATTTAACAAAGATAGGTTAAACAATCCAATTTGATTCCAGTGTTTGAAAGATAAATATTCTTTCAAGAGGCATTGTAACATTAAAACTTAGTTAAAATGACCTTCCTTTATTTTCCAAAGTAATTTAGAATTGTGGGAAATTAAATTTTCAGGAATTAACAATATTTCGTAGCCTGCTACTAATTAACATGATCAATAAATTTATAAATTAAAGTATATTTAAGATAAAATTTTCATGGCCTTTATGTTAACTTTATAAAACATTCCACACAATTTTATATCAAACTTTAAAACGGATTTTGCTCTTATAGATTATTATATTACATCAAAAGATAAAGAAATTCCTGACCTGTTCTTTTTTAATATTTTGGTATTTTGAAATTCCTTCCAAATGCATGAATTTCTATTGTATTAGAACAAACATGCATTAATGCAATTTGTTTGTTAGTGTAGTATAATGGAAGATACATTGAATACTTAAAAGGTAACTATTATATAGAGCCCAGTGACTAGCTCTTAGTAACCCTCAATAAATTTTTGCTTTTGTAAGGATCATACTAATGTTGGGCTAAAAAGTTGTGCCTATATAGACAACGTACTTACTGCTGTTCAGCTTTCAATTTCCTCATAACTAAAATTAAAAGAAATGACAGATATATTGACCCTTGCTAACTTTAGTTTGTAAAATTGTAGAAGTGCCAATTTTTTCTTTGTGCCTGCTAGTGCACAACCACATTGTTCTGAATGTAGGACAGAATAGGGATTGCTTTAATTTTCCTCATTTCTTGTGTCCATTAAAACCATGATAATTTTGCAGAACTAACGGTAGCAACAAGTTTGAGAGGGATTCACAATATAAGCATACTAGCCAGAATACTAGCCCACAAGAAAGCAAAATTGTTAAAGGAAAAATGTAGTGTGACCATTTTCTGCAAATCTATTTCTCAAAGACAAAGCTCTACAAAAAGTTTCCTTACAGATGTGTTTTGGCTGCAGCAAAATTGGGCAAATTACTTTTCTGCCTTTCATCTACTTCAATTTACCTTTGTAGCCCCTAATCACCCAACATAAACCAATTTAGGTGTGACCTATTTTCCACTGCCCAGCCAGATAAAGTTTTATTTGGTTCTCTTCAACCAAGTTAATACTGGATTCACTTTCTTTCTTCCATATGTAGTATAGCTCTTTAGATTACCAATACTATAAGCTATCTAGAATTTCTGGTTCACATAAATTTATTTTCGCCAGGAGAATAATAGCTTTAGAAAAAGTAAAAACTTGCTCTAATTTATGTCCTAATTGGCCTGGCAATGGACCTAGCACACAATAGGAGCTCAAAGGCTAATGAAAGGAAGAGAGAAAAAGAGTGGGTGAAACAGAGGAAAAAGGAGAAATACGTAGGCTGCTACTTTGGAGTAGTATTGCAAGAACAACATAATAAAGCAAAATAAGTAATATCAATATATTAAAATTTGACATATAGCTACTGTTATTTCCTAATTATATCAGTAGTTATCTGAAATTGTTTTCACATTTTTTTGAAATTTAATTAATTTTTACTTTTTGATTTTGAACAAAACCTCAACCTTACTATATCATACTCCTCAGCACTGAGGAACTCAACATTCTTCCCCTTTCTCCATAACTCACCATCTCCTTACTAAACACTGCCAAAGATATTAGTGCCAATAAAGAAAACAATGTTAACTGATTAAGCATGTCTTTCCTAGAGACTATGGTGATTACCCCTATCAGGCCTCAATTGCCCTAAAAAATTCTCATCTCTATACAGCTAGCTATACCTCTTGAGTTGGCTCATTGTCTCATCCTACAGAGTTAACACCAGACCTTCCACTGATCCCTCTGGATCTATCTCTGTCAGATCTATCTCTAGATAGAGATCTAGAACTCTAGCAACAGATCTGGATGTATCTCTAGATAGAGATCTAGCACTCTGTCAGCAACAAAATTTCTTATATCCTCATATCCTCATATACTCTTTAGGGTTGCTTAATTTCTCTACTCAAAACCAAGTTGTCAGGCTGGGCATGGTGGCTCACACATGTAATCTCAGAACTTTGAGAGGCTGGGGTAGCTATACATACATATATGTATGTATGTATGTTTGTCTCTCTCTCTCTTTCTCTCTCTCGCTATGTATCTATGTATCTATCTATCTATCTATCTATCCATCTATCTATCAATCATCTATAGATAAAGATATAGACCATTTCTTACTGTATACTTACTGCAATCACTTTTAGTTCCAGGAAGCATCTCTCCTCTGGATTATATCTTTTTATCTGCCCTCTTCACAAGCATTCTTGCCTTTCTACAGTCTCACTTTTGCATATGGAATCCAGTGTATCTCCACTCAAATCTTATCAACAATTCTGTCTCAGAATAAAATCCGGTATCCTTACCAAGATCTAGAAATTAATAGCTAATCTGACTCTGTGTGTTTTATGACTCACCCACTCACTGACTTTGTTCTAGAGACTCTGGCATTTCTTTTTTCTCCCAGTTTCTGAGAAAGGCCAAGCATCTACTTCAAATATTACTTTGAGATCTGAAATTACTGTTACTTCTTTGTGGATTCTTCCCCCAGATATAAGCTTGGCAGTTACCCTCACTCAGTTATCTGCTCAGAGATACTTTACCTCACAGAAATCATAGACGTTGAGGTCTAAAAATATTTCCAGGGGAGAGTGATAGACTGAGCTTCACAATTGCTAAACAAAAATATATAGTTTGAAATTGCATATAAATATTAAAAACAATTTTACTAAATATATGTGTTAATTAAATTGTGTTTTTCAATTTTACTCAGAACTTTTTCTCCATACTTCTCACATCACTGGGAAAAACATTAAGAGCATTCATTAAAATGAAAACACACTTAACTTCATTTATTTTGGAGGGATAATTAATTATGTCTACAAAGTGGGTAAAATGCCAATAATATCTTTAAAGAAAAAGGAAAACAAGGAGATCCAGAGCATCTCGTCAGAACATTATTCAGAGCAATAATGTTGTCAATAGCATTTACAAAGGGATGTATATTAAAGAACTGCTTGGAGGAGCTTCTGTTGTCTATCTTCAAAGGTTTCAATAGTGACATTGCATGTCTTTTGGAAAAATCTCTCAATGGTCTAGTAAAGCATCTTGGCATGAAATAGTTTTCCTATAAAGCCTCTTAAATTTTCTTTCACTCTATTTTCACTTGTTTATGTCTTGTTCTTGCTCATTGATTCAGACAACATATGTTAATTTCATCAATAAACATTCAATGTTTTCTTTTTAATGATGATATTTTGCATGTCTCCTAAAATTCCCACATCCACTTCTTTCTCCTGTAATTGGCACGCATACTTTGCTGAATTGTTTCACTTTAGGGTTTTACCTTTTCCAGAAGTCAGTCTCCTTTACATAAAAAACAAAAGCAAATGCAAACAAACACTCCACTGTAAGTTCCTTAAGATATACCTTCTCGTTTTTTTGTGAATAACAGCTCATGGTTAAAACATTATCATTTCACATATTTGAGGATTGGAGATAATTAACTATCTCTGGGAAAATTATAATTATTTCATTTGTTCAGAAAATTTTAGAGTGCTACTTTAATGGTTACTATACAATTGGAAATTATTAGTTTTCTTATGAAAGGAAAAGGGAATTTGCATTTATTCTTACTATGTTTCTAGTAGTTCAATTTTAATGTAATAAACTGAAAGAAACATCAAATTAAAGCACACGTGAAAGAATATCAGAAGAAAGGAAACAATTGATGAGGAAGAATTAGATATAGCCCATATTAAAATAGGCTATTTAATTCTGTAGCTGAAGTGGAATTATTTAGATTTAGTTTGGGGTATTCATCTCAAGTGATCTGAATAAACTTGTCTAGACTAATACAAGTGATAGCTTTGGATTTTTCAGTCCTTTCCATTTACTCAGAGAAAATATGAATTAAGTAGGGTGTTTGGCTATTTGGGAGCCTGCTTTGTTTTTGATGATGATGATGATGTGGATTTTGAGGTCTTTTGAAACTGAAGGAATACCTGACCTAACTAATTTGCCAGTATCTATAATAGCTTTATAGGTGTTGTCAATATATTTGTGTTTTGCTCAATAAAGGGTGGTATAAAAAAGGTTGGTGTTTAGTTAGAGTAATTTAATTTAGTTGTTGCTCTTTTTTAAAACAAGTCCAAATGTCAATGGCTTAAGAATATAAAATTTTCTTTCTTACTTACATCATAATTCAAAGCTAAAGAGAAACTCAGTTTGGTATATATCCTCCCAGTGTTGATCTAGAAATTTATTCTCCATCCATCTTTGACACTGCCATATTAAACACCTGGCTGAAGAAACATCTGAGGATAGAACAAGTTGTTTTTATGGACCAAGTCTGTAGCTGAGTCATATCAATTGCAATCATATTGCATTGAACAGGTATAAAGTCCCAACATAAATCAAAGTGAGGCTATAAAATGAATTTGTTCTGTGTTCTTGGAAAGAAAAATAAGAGGGTAAACAGGATTTTATAAAAGATAAATGGAAAATTTATCTATAAAATGCCATATTTATAACTATTAATTTATACTTTTAAATCTAATAGTTATACACAAATAAATTCCAAAATATTTTTGTTGGGAAAATAAAATGTCTGTGTTCCTATTATAGTCTAGGTGAAGGCTTAAGATATTGAACTAAAGAAAGTCTCCTAAAACAGAAATAGTGTATTTGAGAACAGTAAGGTATCCTTATTCCTTGCTCACAGCAATTTTTTTGGAGTCATAGAGGAATGATATGCTCAACAAATATTGTCAGGCCTCTGAGCCCAAGCTAAGCCATCATATCCCCGGTGACCTGCATGTACACATCCAGATGGCCGGTTCCTGCCTTAACTGATGACATTCCACCACGAAAGAAGTGAAAATGGCCTGTTCCTGCCTTACACAAAGCCTGTTTGGTGTGTTTATTGCTCACACGAAGCCTGTTTGGTGGTCTCTTCACACGGACACGAGTGAAATATTCAAATATCAATTTGATTACTTAAAAGCTGTATTAAACAAGATCCAAGCAAGAAAAAGCTTGAGATAAATGCTAAAAAATTGAATAAAGAGTTTTGGGTTAGAAATCTCCATGTATACACTGATAAGAGCACAGTCAACTTTGTTGAGGGATAATTTAATGGCAATTTTCATGCGCGTCCGTGTGAAGAGACCACCAAACAGGCTTTGTGTGAGCAACATGGCTGTTTATTTCACCTGGGTGCAGGCGGGCTGAGTCCGAAAAGAGAGTCAGCGAAGGGAGATAAGGGTGGGGCCGTTTTATAGGATTTGGGTAGGTAAAGGAAAATTACAGTCAAAGGGGGGTTGTTCTCTGGCGGGCAGGAGTGGGGGTCGCAAGGTGCTCAGTGAGGGTGCTTTTTGAGCCAGGATGAGCCAGGAAAAGGACTTTCACAAGGTAATGTCATCAGTTAAGGCAAGGACTGGCCATTTACACTTCTTTTGTGGTGGAATGTCATCAGTCAAGGTGGGGCAGGGCATATTCACTTCTTTTGTGATTCTTCAGTTACTTCAGGCCATCTGGGCATATACATGCAAGTCACAGGGGATGTGATGGCTTGGCTTGGGCTCAGAGGCCTGACAGCAATCGTGACTTGAAAATTAGAGATTATGCATTCTTTTTGGATATTTACATACTTAACTCTCCCAGAGCAACTTGCTTACATTTTAGGGAGACTTTCACCTTTTCTCCAAAAAGTTATCATTTTTTTTTTCATCCCTGAGTAAAGATTTCTTTCCTAAAGGAGGACAGGCCCCCATCAGCCCCCATGTGTAAGCTCTGAGTCTCATAATTTCTGGGATCTCCTTTAGTGGTGCAACCTCACTGTGTGAATAGGTGAACATTTGGCTCTTATCATCTCACCCCATGGAAAACTGTGACATGGGGAATTGATTCTTAGATACTCTGTGAATAATAAACAGTCATATCCAAAGATCTCGTATTTCCCGTTAGGACTATTTATAAATATATAGGAACTAACACGGGCTTAGAGCATGGTCAATAACCTTATGAAACTATCCTTTGGCCTGTAGAAGCAGAAAGTAGGAGTGGTCACTACAAAACAGGAAGAGTAGTACAAAAACTGACAATTAGGAGTTTGGGGATCCAAAGGAAAAAAAATACGAATTCTACTTCATTTTCTTCTTTCATTTGGATCTTTTTCAGGTGTCTCGTTTTGGCCAAATACAAGTGGAAATCAGAAAGCCAGTGACTCCATTGCTGCTATCCATAAAGTTTAGCTTCCTGAGGCACAGAACATGCTACCAAAGGGTGGAGAGTAAATTTGGAAAAGCGAATGGAATGCAGCACAGTTCCTATGCTGAAAGATGATATGCTTTATGCTTAAAAGATTATTAAACACATAAACTTCCAACTATGGCTGACCTGTGAGATATGGCTCTGTGAGATTTGGCTGAACTTTTCCCTCAAAAATTCCCTGAACTAGAAATTCTTCTGCTCTAAAAACTCAATCATATCCAGAGTACAGATGAATTCTCCTATCTATCCATTTGTTTATCTTTCTTATTATTTTAAAATCACAATCACTTTTGACAAAACAAAACTTCTTTAAAAGTACTGTTTAGCACACACCCTCTGGTGATTACCAATGTGTCACACTGTTGAATGAGGATGGAAGCTGTGAATTGCATCTAATGAACAAAATATGGCAAAAGCGAGGGGCTGTTACTCCCTTTATTGGGTTACACTATGTAAAATTCACTATTAAGCAGATGAGTGAGATAGACTTCCTTGCTGACTTGGAAGTTTTATGTTGCCATTTGTAAGAAGGCCTCTGAGAGGAACACATGACAAAAAACTGTGGCCTAGAGGAGGTGAGTGCCCCCAACCCGTAACCAGCAAGAACCCCCCACCACCGATAGCTTCCAGAGTATAAATTATCCCAAGTACATGAATGATATAGAAAACAGATTCTTGCCAGTCAAGCCTCCAGATAGGAATGCAGTCCAGCAAATGTTCTTGATTGAAGCATTATGAGGGTTTAATCTCAATAATCTAATAATGATCAGACTACATTAGCATAGAACCAACTAAGCTGCATCTGGACTCCTGTTATCCTGTAGTGTCTATAAGATAACAAAAGTATATTAGCTTAAGCCTCTAAATGTGTGGTAATTCATTACAAAGAAGAAAAACTAGTATTAGTATTGACAATATTATTTTGAACATTGTTTTTACAATGATCTCAGCTTATTGTGTGTGATCCTGAATTCCTCATTAACTCCATGGCAGTTTGCCATAATTCATTATATTTTATCAGAAAATATCAATATTAAGCAATACCATTACTTCAAGTTAAGATAGGCTCACTAGGAAAAATATTATTTCATATAAAGTATAAAATTTGGATATAAAGTATAAAAACAACCTCATATATAGATTTTGATATTAAAAATAAAAATATGTTTGCTTAAAAAAAGAAGGACCCGATATTGTTGATTTTCTGAATATGGTTCCTTCTCTGATGTAAACACTGGTCAAATAAATGGGGGAATGAGGAAGGATAGTATAAACTTACATGGCTTTATGTTCAGAAATTATGTATTGTCAAGCACAAAGGGAAGCTTTAAGCTAATTTAAATTATTCTTTACTTATTATGGATTATGTAAATTTATTTAGAGATTTTCAACACCTGAACAAAGATGCATTAACTGTAACCAATTAACAATCTAATAGCTATCACATTATATTGTTTACTTCTTTCATGCTGTCAACTTAAAGTGTGTAAAAATTCAGTAATTTTTTTCCCCTCAGTAAAGCTGGGGAATGATTTTCTGTAAGTATGGATTTAGTGGTCTCCCTTTAAATGTAATTGCATCCGAGCGAACTTCCTACTATCTTTCTAGGCTCCTGCTGTTTTTGTGACAGTCAGTGCTGGCTCTAATCTTATTGTTAATGTCAAAGACCAAGCGTGACAGCTCCAGACAAGATAGGCTCCAGTGAATGGCAGAGTAATCAGGCTGGAAAAGAACTGGCGCATTCATAAAGGATCAGACCCTGGAAAGTCGCTATCAGCATGTTCACATGTTTGCTTCTTTTCTAATACTGATGGCAGGTAGATCATTTAACATTGTGTCTTTATGTCAAAGATTATTTGAAATTTGTGTTATTCTAATACTCTAAACCAAACTGAATAAAAATGTTGTATTTGACAGTATTATCAATATACAAAATTCAAAATATCTGAGGGCATTCTGTGAAAATATGGTATTTTACAAACTGTGCAAAGAATGTTCCTTCACCATCTCACACTTGTTTTCCTAAAATGCAATATGGAACAGTTTCTGTTCAAATTATAAAGATGTATAAGTTTCTTTTTGTCTTTATGATTTATATTCTATTTAATAATGACATAATTCAAGCAATTAAGTAAAATTTATATTTTATGCTCCAAAAGATAAGAACACATTAGTCAACTTAGTATATTGTACATGTCCAATAAATGTTAAGAACATGAAGAAAATCTAAGTAGTAATATTTTATTTCTGTGAAATATTTTATGATATATCTTTTTAAAGGGATAACAGCGTTTACATTTCTTAAGGAAAATATACATGACATTCAAGTGGTTATATTGTGTGTGTTTCTAAGTTTCTTACAAGCAGTTATATTGTGTGTTTCTAAGTTTCTTATACAATACTTTTTGAAAAATGTACTGTATCTTATTTTAAGAAATTTCACTATATGTATATATAGTTACATATATAGATGTTAAAACAAATTTTGCAAAAGATACTTTATAATATTTAGCATCACTTCAATTTATCAGGAAAAGAAAAACACATGAATGTTTTTCTTAAGTAACTGGTCCTCCAGTTACTTAAGGGCTCATATTAAGTCCTTAAGTGATAGTATATATGTGATATGTATAATAGTATAAATATACCATTAAAGAGAATGTTAATTGCTCACTTTAGATGATATACAGAAAAAGATGTTCTCTTTTGGGTAAACGTTTAATAGATTTTTAAAATACCTGAGGGATGTATTCAGTATTTGGGGGATATATGGCTAGTGAAAAAATACACGGGAAAATGACTGTCTTTTAAATTTTAAGACAATAAACTTATTATAGTTTTGCTGATATACATTCCGATGTTTATAATAATTAACTCACAATTTTTAATAATATTAATTTCCCATAACTGCCTGATGAGCTAGTAAAGAAATATTGGTTTATATTAAAATACATTTGTATTTAATATATTTATTTTTATATTTATAGTGTATAAATTTTAAATTTTTATATTTATGTAATTTTTATTCCTCAAAATAACCACCTATTCTAGATATGTTATCATTATATAAAACCTGGATTCAAAATGCAAATTTTTTAAAGTTATATTTCATAATTATTGACTGTAATCAATAATAACAAATCTTTCAACCAATGGACCTACAAGAGTTAGTTTTTAATTGATTTTTAAAGGAGCTGTTTTATTGGCAGAGAATAAGATAGGGCTAGCTCTCTTCTTCCAAAAAAAACAATAACTCTGTCATGGAGTTTGTTGGGGTCCCAGCCTCAGGACCTAATTACACCTTAAAAGCCTCACCTCCTAATACCGTCCTTTTGGGTGTTAAGCTGTCAATACAGAAATTTTGGGGATGACACAAATATGCAGTCCATAAGATGCAGTATGTGTACAGTTGCAAAAGCAGGACAGTGATTAATGGAAGAGTATTGAGTGAACTAGTCATTTTTCTGCCATCTTCCCTCAGCTCAATT
Source organism: Homo sapiens (assembly GCF_000001405.40). Taxonomy (NCBI): domain Eukaryota; kingdom Metazoa; phylum Chordata; class Mammalia; order Primates; family Hominidae; genus Homo; species Homo sapiens. The sequence goes on from NC_000013.11 coordinate 69,201,682, forward strand.
CTGACACCAACAGAAGCAATGATGGATTAATGTTTTGTACAAAAAAAGAATGAAACCTCAAACATCCTGCATAACTCTCATCTTTCTGCTTTTCTTCATCAGTTTTCCATGAAGTGGAAAGCAATTAATACTTCCAGCAAGTGCCCTCATCCAATGTGGGAATGGGAGCTGGTGTGCAAATCTGCAGAAGGACCATAAGAATCCCTTGTACTTCAGACCTCTTGTACCTCTGATCCACATTCAGAGGGCTCAGGAGAGTTGGGTCACAGTGGTCTACAGCAGTAGCCTCCCAAACGAAACATCTTCCTGTGATTCTTCCATTTTCTCTGTCTCACACACTTGCACCCTTCCTGCTTCCTCACATCACCTCCAGATAATCAACTATACCCAACTTCTTTTCACAGACTTTGCTTTCAGTCACTGAAATATACAAATATAAAGGTTCTTTCTTTCTTTATGTAAATTATACAAGAATAACAATGATGAAAGGTGTACAAGAATAAGGGACAATATAATTCTTCTGATTAGAGTAGCATGTTTCCCTAGCCCTCATCTTCCCAAAACAGACACCCTACTTATCAACACTTGATAGAGGTGAGAAACCCTTCAGTCCTTTAAGAAGTTTGTATTGCACTTTCAATGTGTATTGATATAAATTCTTGGCCTTCTTTTCTTTTTCTGGGAAGTCTGACTATATATTAGTTTGCCTACAACACTGCAAGTACCCAGAAAACAAATCAAAACATTTTAAAAAGCCGTAGGTTCCTGATTATTGATTCTGAGCGTGAATTGAAGGCTAATTTGCCAGGTGCACCATCTCCACTAATAGCCATCCCAGTCTTTACATCTGCCTGTAGTGCCTTCTTGTAGTGTGAGAAAAACTAGGCTTCCCCTTAGAGGAGTGCATAGAAGGTGAAAACAGACATGAATTTCTAAAATGTGAAACAGATTTTTTTTTAACTCTAGTAAATTAGAGTCAGCAGAGACCATGTATATAATTTAAAGTTTCTTGCTCAAGTAGCATACTTGAGTAAATAAAAAGAGTATGGGAAATTTTTCCAAATTGGGGCCTGAGATTGGCCCCTTCTCACAGTTATTTAGGTAGTGCATATTACGATTTCAGAATTTGTCATTCATGTTGTAGTATTTAAAATGGAGCCCACGTTATAATCATTTTTTTTCTGCACACAATAATCACCAACAGTTTATTACATTTTTGCCTGAATGTGAAACATTGATGCCAGATGTACATCGTTTGTAAAGCCACTGACTAAACCATGTGGTTTATAAATCCTATTTACCTGCCAGTTTTTATACCTATGTCTCATCTCCATTGTTTAGAGAGAAACTTTGTGACATTCAGTCTTTAATAGAGCAAGAGAAAGTTGGAATTGTGTTTTCACAAAAACCATGCATTCAGCCTTGGAAAAAGTAGTAAATAGATCAGAAAAATTCCTCTCTCTTTTGTAAGGCGAACTAAGCTGTTCTCCAAGACTCTTTGATGTAAACTGGAGGATAATCTCTCTGAAGTCATCCCTGAGCCAGCTTCTGAGCACTATCAGCTCTAAGATTTAACAGCATTTCAAAGATTCACATCTGTGGTAGAGGACTGAAGGTAATAAGGACAATATCTGATCATTGCATGGCATCACATTCACTAGATACATAAAATATTTAGACTACTGTCTGAATTTTAGTTTCATTAAATTTCTATCGCTTTACAATTAAAAAAAATACAGTTGTGGCCTGGCCCAGGGAAAGAGGCCTTCATAAGTTTGGATGGTCATTAAACAGTAGATTGAAGCATCTTTGTGTAAAGTTATAAAGAATTATACATTATATTTTAGTTGTTTTTTCAGTGAATTTATTTGTTATTCTTAGACCTGAGGGGGTCAGGTGGTTACATTATTAATTATTTTTACTAATAGTACATCATCAGAAATATATCTTTAAAAAACTGAAGTAATTCTGGTGAAGCATACGTAATGACTGATATTCCATATATATGTAAATTATATATATACTAACATATACGTATGTGTCTATATATATTTATATATATATGTATATATACACTAATTCTTACAGTTTTTTTTGTTTTTGTGAGAGTTAGGATTTTCTCTACATAAAGATCAGATGGTCTTTTAAGAGGATAATTTTACTGGTTCCTTTCTAATTCAGATGTCTAGTATTTATTTTGTCTAAATTGTGGCTAGGTCACTCATTACTATGTTGAGTTGGTAGCCTTGTGTTTCTGATCTTAGAGGAAAAGCTTTCAGATTTTCATTGAGTATGATATCAGTTATGAACTTTCCATATATGGTCTACACTATGTTAAAATATATTCCTTCTATTTCTTGTTTATTGAGAATTTTTATCATAAAAGAGTGTTGAGTTTTGTCAAATGCTTTTTCTGTATGTTGAGAAAATCGTGTCATTTTTACCTTTTATTAAATATGCATATGCATATTTAATATAAACTATTCTTGCAACCAACAATGAGAGAGAGATAGAGAGAGAGAATAGGAGAGAGTATCTTAATATATTTATATATAGAGAGAGTAGCTGGATGAAAGCTGGTATCTCCTACTCCAATATCTTGGTCTCACAGAATAAAATTTAAAACTATTTTCTTCTGCCACCAAATATTATATCTTGTATATAATGTATTATGTATCAACTCACAGAGAGATAATAGTGGTATTCAATGAAAAATCACTGTATAATTGTTAAAAATACAAAGCATTATTTGAACAAGCTACCCATATGTATTGCCAAACTTAACAACCTAAATTGGTATTTCCTAATTTAACAGAAATAAAGTGCCAGAAAATAAATAAACTGCTAGAGTACAACAGGAGTTTCAATTTTAGCTACTCATCATATGGATGAATATTATTGTAAAAATGTATTATTCTTACATTCATATGCATTGATTATTATTACTTATTTTAAATAATAAATATTTCATTTTAAGCATAAAGATTACTATTATGTCACTTAAAATTGATGGCCCACATGTATGCTAAAACCAATTAAGTAATATATTAATTCCAATAGCTTAAGACAAAAATGCTTTCCAATAGTAAAAAGGGATAATATGTAACTGCTTGACACTGTCACTGATTTATTTATTTATTTATTTATTTATTTATTTATTTATTTATTTATTTATTTTGAGGAGAGTAATGGTATGGTTCTGGTAATCAGCTGATATATAAGCCCTTGGGGAAAAACTTTCCTTGATCTTGATTCCGCATAACTCACTCTCAGGAAACAGCTATTCTTTAAGATTTTTTTTAGCTCCATTTAACCAGGCTTTATAATAACGTGGACAATTTTTAAACTGGACCAATTTCTAGTAAACAATCTGCAAAATCTTTTCTATTCTCGTTCTGCTCAGCAAAAGTTGAAAAGTCTCAGGAAATTCATTTTGGATCTTATAAAAAGTATTTCTTTTTTTGATTCTTTATTTTCCTGCTTTGTCCCATATAAAAGTATTAGGATTATCCAAATCCTTATTTCTGTTGGAGGAGAGAGAGAGAGGAGAGGGGAGGGGAGGGGAGGGGAGAGGAGTGGAGAGGAGGGGAAGGCAGAGGAGTTCTACCTGGTCAGCAGGGTGATTAAAAGGACCTGACAAAAACAAGCAATGGGGAAAGGATTCCCTATTTAATAAATGGTATTGGGAAAACTGGCTAGCCATATGCAGAAAACTGAAACTGGACCCGTTTCTTATGCCTTATACAAAAATTAACTCAAGATGGATTAAAGACTTAAATGTAAGACCTAAAACCATAAAAACCCTGGAAGAAAACCTAGGCATTCAGGACATAAGCATGGGCAAATATTTCATAACTAAACCACCAAAAGCAATGACAAAAAAAGCCAAAATTGACAAATGAGATCTGATTAAACTAAAGAGCTTCTGCACAGCAAAAGAAACTATCATCAGAGTGAACAGGCAACCTACAGAGAAAATTTTTGCAATCTATCCATCTGACAAAGGGTTAATATCCAGAATCTACAAGGAACTTAAATTTACAAAAAAACAAACAACCCACCCCATCAAAAAGTGGGCAAAGTATATGAACAGACACTTCTCAAAAGAAGACATTTATGTGGCCAACAAACATATGAAAAAAGCTCATCATCACTGGTCGTTAGAGAAATGCAAATCAAACCACAGTGAGATACCATCTCACACCAGTTAGAATGGTAATCGTTAAAAAGTCAGGAAACAACAGATGCTGGAGAAGATGTAGAGAAATAGGAACGCTTTTACACTGTTGGGAGTGTAAATTAGTTCAACCATTGTGGAAGGCAGTGTGGCAATTCTTCAAGGATCTAGAACTAGAAATACCATTTGACCCAGCAATCTCATTACCGGGTATATACCCAAAAGATTATAAATCATTCTACTATAAAGACACATGCACACGTATGTTTATTGTAGTACTATTTACAATACCAAAGACTTGGAATCAACCCAAATGCCCATCAATGATAGACTGCATAAAGAAAATATGGCACATAGGGCGTGGTGGCGCGCACCTGTAGTCCCAGCTACTCAGGAGGCTGAGGCAGGAGAATGGCGTGAATTGGGGAGGTGGAGCTTGCAGTGAGCTGAGATCGCTCCACTGCACTCCAACCTGGGAGACAGAGTGAGACTCCATCTCAAAAAAGAAAAAAGAAAATGCAGCACATATACACCATGGAATACTATGCAGCAATAAAAAAGGATGAGTTCATGTCCTTTGCAGGGACATGAATGAAGCTGGAAACCATCATCCTCAACAAACTAACACAGGAACAGAAAACCAAACGCTGCACGTTCTCACTCGTAAGTGGGAGTTGAACAATGAGAACGAATGGACACAGGGAGGGAAACACACACTGGGGCCCGTCGGGGGGTGGGGGGCAAGGGGAGGGATAGCATTAGGACAAATACTTAATGCACAAGGGGCTTAAAATCTAGATGATGGGTTGATGGGTGCACCAAATCACCATGGCACATGTATACCTACGTAGCAAACCTGCACATTCTGCTCATGTATCCCAGAACTTAAAGTATAATAATAATTTTAAAAAGCTTCCTTACATATTTATTCTGTTAATGAAATTCTACCTTATCTCACACCCTTGAACCTCAAATTTCTTTTTATGTTTTATTCATCCTAGATTTTCCCATCTTAGTTCAAAAATATCTTGCTTCTATTTTTTTCTCTTTATTATATGAAACACTTAAATAAGGCACTGGGAAATAATTGTGTCTAAAGTAGTATCTAAATTTAGTTAAAACTTACATGATTAAAATTTTTGATTTAGGAACAAGTCTTCTCAAATCACATTCTATAAAATAAAATAAGTACATCTAATAATGATTTTGAGAAATATAACATTTCTAGACAATTTTTTCTGCACTAACATGTTGGCAATATATTAAATATATATATTGCAATACTCTTAATAGCCATATTCAAAGGCATTATTATACTGATCATTGTTGTCTATGTTACAAGACCAACCTGACCAACATGGAGAAACCCTGTCTCTACTAAAAATACAAAATTAACCAGGTGTGGTGGCCTATGCCTGTAATCCCAGCTACTCAGGAGGCTGAGGCAGAAGAACCACTTGAACCTGGGAGGCAGAGGCTGCGGTGAGCCGAGATCGTGCCATTGCACTCCAGCCTGTGCAACAAGAGCAAAACTTCATCGCAAAAAAAAAAACAAAAAAAACTAATTTCAGATTTGCCATATACAAATAAAATAAGTGTAATTAGAAATTTCAGAAAAGATTTTGTTTAACAAAATCCATGGTTTTCTTCCTCCTCATTCCACATGTTGTCTTTTTTCCAGGCTTGTATTTTGCTGTTTCTTTGTGACTGCATCTGAGCCATGACAGGCAGTATGCAGGTGTGCACTGGAGAGGCAGTGTGCCATGTCCATCATGGCCCATGGGTACATCTCACAAGCTCTCTTCTAGGCTTTTTCACCTTCTGATGGTTACATGCCTCCTTCCAGGGCAACTTTGGTATTTTAATGACTTCAGAGACCAAACTCTCAAATTTCCTGGGCAGGAAAACCATCATTAGAATATTACTAGATTTATAAAAAAAAAACACATTTATATTAGGCCACAAATATACAGGTATTAATTTATAATTGCAGATAGCATAACTCAATTAATGTATTGAATCCATGGAATATTATATAATAGTGAACTGGCAAACTGATTTTCAAGTGTATTATTCTTACAAATCACTTAGATAAAATTTTAAATTTCAGGCAATTAAATCATTAAAAATTTTAACAATATATTATTACTTTCTCTTAAATTGATTATTGGTGAAAGGTAACTTAAAAATAAATTTATAACTAATCTCAGTTTTTATCCTCCTGTAATAAATAAGCCTTACAGAATATGGGCAATACTAAAGCCTGTTTTTGTTTTAAATGACCTAAGTCATTAGTAAAAAGTCCTTCCTTCAAAAGAGTATTTTGCATTTTTCCCACCTCCCAATTCAGCATAACACAATCATCTACAATGTATGAGAGCAAAGCCTGAAAAAGAAGAACTATAATGAAGAGAAGCAGATAAATATGCTTGTGAACACAAATTTGCAGTAATTTTGAGTGGAGATCTTTGTTTTCCTGTGGTGACTTAGGATTATATAAACCATAAATCCCCAAAGAGATACTTTGCTACCATTTTAGGATACATTCCTTCACTTTGTCCAGATGAATACCAAAATTTGTTATATATAAAATAGGGGACTCAAACTTATTCTGAGAAAATGAAAGAGAGTAGCTTACCACAGTGGGGTTTTGTTTAATTGGTAATCACTCTGTAAAGGTAAACATTTACTTAATCTAAGAGCAGCTGGATCTGTGAATTTCTGATGCTTATTTAGGTGTGAAGGGAGCCTGGAAGGCTCAGATCTTAACACTTGGGATCTAAAGGTTTCTAAAATTTTCAAATAAAATATAAACATAAAGGAAAAATATGAAATAAATAACTATATCCTGAGAAATATGTTAATATATTCATGTGAATATAAGTAATTATTTTGGAGGCTGATATGAGCATACTAAAATTCCTAGGTTGGATTTCTATCTCCCCAACTTCTGACCTTGAGTTAGTCATTCATTTCTCTCCTTCTACTTAATAAAAAGGAGATGATAAAAGTAAACTCATAGGCTTATTGTGATAATTTAATGAGTACAACAATTTCCTGCTCATAGAAACTGTTCAGTAAGTAACTTGTTATCAACATTGTGTTTATTACCAATAGTCACAATGGCAATTATAGTACAGTAGGATTAGTAATTGCCTCAGGGTATTTTTTCCATTTCTGTTTGGCCATATGTGTATCTTAAAAATATGCTTCTTAGATTAATTGCAAAGTTCTACTCGTTTCATCAGATGTCCACATTTAGATGTCTTAAAACATTTTAAAGATACACAGGCTTAGCATTTATGAAAACAGATTTTAGTGAACTGAATCCTAATAGGTCAGTTCCAAAAAGCAGATTAGCAGATAGTGCCACTTTATAGTTGTCATTAATTATATCCAGGAAGCAATATTAATTTTTGATTTTAAAAATGTATCAGATTATAATTTTTAAAACTTGGATAAGCTTACATATTTAAAACAGTAAAGTAAAAGCAGTTGTCTTGTTTTCAAAACAAGTTAATTTTGCTATACATTTCTTTTGGATAGCAAAAAGCAATGCCAGTATATGTGGTATATATAAAATTGTATATAAAATCTTTTGACTTAATAACATTTAAGATGCTGAATACTGAGAAAAATATATATGCCATATAGAGATGTTGATCTGATTTTTTCAAAAGATTTAATTAGTGCAAACCTTGTAAATTATACAACTAGCATTTTAAAGAATTTAAAGTACATTGAAGTTTATTACAAAAATGTATCATCTGTGCATATTAAGGAAACAAGTTATAGTGCCCCATATTAAATATCAAATGAGAAATCTGAGAACTAAAATTTACTAATAATTACACTTTATAATTTTTTAAAAATAATTTCAACCTTTATTATAAGGTACGTTTGCAAGCTTGTTACATGGGTATATTACATGATGCTGAGGTTTAGGATACAAATTATGTTTTCACCCAAGTAGTAAGCTTAGTACCTGATAGCTAGTTTTTCAGCCTACATCCCCCTCCTTCCCTCTCCCATCTAGTAGGCCTCAATGTCTATTATGCTCATCTTTAAGTTTATGTGTATTCAATATTTAGCTCCCACTTATAAGTGAGAACAAAAGTGGAGTTTGGTTTTCTGTTCTTGCATTAATTTGCTTAGGACAATGACCTCCATCTCTGTCTATGTTGCCTCAAAGGAAAGGGTTTCATTCCTTTTTACGGCTGCGTAGTAGTCCACGGTGTATATGTGCCATATGTTCTTTATTCAATCCACTGTTGATGGACAGCTAGGTTGACAATATATCTTTGCTATTGTGCACAGTGCTGCAATGAACAAATGAGTGTCTGTGTCTTTTTGATACAATGAATTATTTTCTTTTGGGTACATGACCAGTAATGAGATTGCTGGGTCCAATGTTTGCTCTATTTTACATTCTATGAGAACTTCCCAAACTGCTTTCTACTATGGCTGAACTAATTTACATTCCCACCAACAGTGTATTATAAGCATTCCCTTTTCTCTGCAGCCTCTCCACCCTGTTATTTTTTGACTTTTTAATAATCACCATTATGATTGGTGTAAGGTGGTATCTCATTGTGGTTTTGATTTGCATTTTTCTGATGATTAGAGATATTTAGCATTTTTTCATAGGTTTGTTTGTGGCTTGATTATTTTCTTTTGAGAAGTGTCTGTTCATGTATTTTGACCATGTTTTAATTGGATTATTTGTTTTTGGCTAGTTGATTGTTTAAGATCTTTACAGATTTTGGATATTAGATCTTTGCCAGATGTATAGTTTATGAATATATTTTCTCATTCTGTGGGCAGTCTGTTTATTCTGTTGGTAATTTCTTTTGCTCTGCAGAAGCTCTTTAGTTTAGTTAGGTCCCACATATCAATTTTTGTTTTTATTGCAGTTGCCTTCGGGGACTTAACCATAAATTCTTTGCCAAAACCAATGATGAGTATTATATTTCCTATGTTTACTTCTAGGATTTTTGTACTTTGAGATTTTAGATTTAAACTTTTATCCATCTCAAGTTAGATGATAGATAGTGGACCAGATTCATTGTTCCACATGGGGCTAGCCTGTTATCCCAGACCCATTTATTGAACAGGATGTCATTTTGCATTGCTGTTTTTTCTCAACTTTGTTGAAGATCAGATAGTTGGAGGTGGGTAGCTTTATTTCTAGGCTCTCTATTCGTTCCATTGGTCTATGTGCCTGTTTTACATCAGCACCATGCTGTTTTGGTTACTGTAACCTTATAGTATAATTTCAAGTAAGATGATGTGATGCCTCAGACTTTGTTCATTTTACTTAAAACTGCCTTGGTTATTTGGGCTCTTTTTTGGTTCCAAATGAATTATTAAGTAGATTTGTCTAGTTCTTTGAAAAATGTCTTTGGTATTTTGATAATCATTGAGTTTGCAATCTTTTGGGCAGCATGGCCATTTAAAAAATATTGATTCTTCCTATCCATGAGCATGAAATTATTTATTCATTTATGTGTGTTTTCTCAGACTTATTTCAGCAGTGTTTGTAGAGCTCCTTGTAGAGAACTTGTAATTCCTTGTTTATAGGACTCCCTAGGCATTTTATGTATTTGTGCCCATTGTAAATGAAATTTTGTTCTTGATTTGGTTCCCAGCTAGAATGTTATTGGTGTATATTAATGTGACCGATTTTTGGACATTGATTTTTGTATCCTGAAACTGAGTCTTTTGGCAGAGTCTTTAGTGTTTTATATTTATAGAATCAAATCATCAGCAAAGAGAGATAGTTTGACTTCTTCTTTTCCTATTCAGATGCCTTTTAATTCTCTTCCTTACCTGATTGCTCTGGCTAGAACTTCCAGTATTATATTAAGTAGAAGTGGTGAGAGTGGCTATCCTTAGCTTCTTTCAGTTCTCAAGGGAATGCTACCAACTTCAGTATGATGTTGGCTGTGGATTTGTCACACATGAATACATGGCTTTTATTACTTTTGAAGCATGTTCCTTCAATGCCTAGTGTTTTGTGAGTTTCTATCATGAAGGTATCTTAGACTTTATCAGAGATTTTTCTGCATATATTGAGATGATCATATGTTTTTTGTTTTTATTCTGTTTATGCGTGAATTGCTTTTGCTGATTTACTATGTTGAACTAATCTTCCATTATAGCAATAAAATATACTTTTTGATTTGTTGTTGGATATGATTTGCTAGTATTTTACTGAGGATTTTTGTATCTATGTTCATCAGCAATATTGTCCTGTAGTTTTCATTGTTGGTCCTGTCTGTGCTAGAATTTGTTAATAGGATGATACTAGCTTCATAGAATTATAGTTAGGGAAGAACCTCTCCTCCTCAATTTTTTGAAGTAGTTTCAGTAGGATTGGTATCAGTTCTTACTTGTACATGTGATATAATCTTGCTGTGGATCCATCAGGTCCGGGATGTTTTGGGGTTGGTAGATTTTTTTTTTTTCTGTTTTTTGTTTTTATACTGATGCAATTTCTGAACTTGTTATTGGTCTGTTCAGGTTTTCATTTTATTTCTAGTTCAATTTTGGGAGTTTGTGTCTTTCTAGAAATTTACCCATTTCCTCTAGATTTCCTAATTCATGTTCATAATAGTCTCTGAGAATCTTTTTTACTTCTGGGGAATTGGTTGTAATCTCATCATTCTAAATTCTGATTGCACTTATTTGGATCTTCTGTCTTTTTTTTCTTTGTTAATCCAGCTAACAGTCTATCAATCTTGTTTATTCTTTTGAAGAACTAATATTTGATTTTATTGATCTTTTGTATAAACATCTGGGCCTCCATTTTATTCTTATCTAATTTCAGTTATTTCTTTTCTTCCATTAGATTTGGTGTTGTATTTTTTTTTCTTGATTCCTATAGGTTCAATGTTAGATTATTAGTGTGAGATTTTTCTAACCTTTTGATGAAGGCAGTTAGCACCATAAACTTTCCTCTTAACATTACTTTAGCTATATTCCAAAAATTTTGGTAAGATGTGTTTCTATTTTTATTACTTTCAAAGAAATTTTTGATTTCTACCTGAATTTTGTTGTTCACCCAAGAGGTATTCAGAAGCAAGTTGTTTAATTTCCACTTTTTTCTGTATTTTTGAGATATCTTCTTGGTATTATTTCTATTTTTATTGTAATTGTTATGCAAGAGTGTGTTTGGTATGCTTTTTTAAAATTTATTTAGACTTGCTTTATTGCTGAGTATGTGGTCAGTCTTAGATTATGTTCTCTCTGCAGATAAGAAGAATGAATATTCTTTGGTTTTTAGGTGGAATATCCTGTAAATGTCTATTGGGTTCAATTGGTCATGTGTCAAATTTAAGCACAGAAATCCTTTGTTAGTTTTCTGTCTTGATGGTCTGTCTAATGCTGTCAGCAGGTTGTTGAAGTCCCCCCACTATTATTGTGTGGCTGTCTAAATCTTTTCCTAGGTCAAGTTGAAGTTGTTTTATAAATCTAAATGTTCCCATCTTGGGTGCATATATATTTAGGATAGTTAAGTCTTGTTAAATCCAACACTCTATTGTTATGTAATGCTGCTCTTTGTACTTTTTTACTGTGGTTGGTGTACAGTCTGTTTTATCTGATATAACAATATCAGTTCCTCCTCTTTTCCATTTGAATGGTAGATCTTTCTCCATCCCTTTACTTTGAGCTGATAAGTGTCATTACTTATGAGACGTAGCTTTTAAAGACAGCAAATGATTCTTGTCTTTTTATCCAGCTTGCCACTATATGCCTAATTGGAGCATTTAGGCCATTTACATTCAGGGTTAGCATCAATATAGGAGATTTTGATCCTGTCATCACGTCGTTGGCTGTTTCTTTTGTAGACTTGATTGTGTAATTGCTTTATATTGTCTGCAGGCCATATGCTTGACTGTTTTTGTGGTAGCAGGTTTTAATGTTCGTTGCCATATTTAGTACTCCCTTAAGAATTTCTTGTAAGGCTGGTCTGGTGGTAACAAATGCTCTTAGTGCTTGCTTGTTTGAGGAGGATTTTAATTTCCCTTCTCTAAAGAAGCTTATTTTGGCAGGATATAAAATTTTTGTTGGAATATATTTTTCTTTAAGAATGCTGAAAATAAAAATTTTAAAAAATGCTGAAAATAGGACTCTAATTTCATGTGGTTTATAAAGTTTCTGCTGAAAAGTCCACTGCTAGCCTGATGACCTGGTCTTTCCCTCTAGGAGCCTTTCATTTTTTTTATTTTGTGTTAATATTTGGTCAATCTGGCCATTATGTACCTGTATTTTGTATAGAGTTTTCTGTATTTCTTAAATTTTGATGTCCTCCCCTCTAGCAAGATTGGGGAAATTTTCATGAACTATATAATCAAATATGCTTTTAGAGTTGCTCACTCTCCTCTTTCAGGAGTGCCAATGAGTCATATATATTGTCTCTTTACATAATCCCATATTTCTCAGAAGTTTTGATCATGTTTAACAATCTCTTAAATTTATTTTTATGTAACTGAGGTGTTTCAATGTACTGGTCTTCAAGCCCTGAAATTCTTTCCTCAGCTTGATCTATTCTGCTTTTAATGCTTTCAATCATATTATAAAGTTCTTGAAGTGAATTCTTCAGTTCCAGAAGTTTAGTTTGCTACTTTCTTAAAATGTCCATTTCATCCTTTAGCTCCTAGGTAGTGTCATTGTATTCTCTGGATTCCTTGGATTGCGTTTAGCCTTTTGTCATAAGCCTCCTTGCCATCCAGATTCTTCCTTGTCTGTAAGCCCAAGCCAGTATGTCTCATCCATCTAGGAGCAGTATGGGTGGGTGGAGTCACCCTATCAACCGTATGGGTCTTCCCAGGGGAACACAGAACTCTACCAACCCACAGAGTTCAGACATAGGTGGGCATGCTGTGTTGGCATACCCAACTGATATGTACTGCCTGGTAATGAGGAGCAGGGGTGGATGGAGTCACCCAGTGTACCCTTTGGGTGCCTCCAAAGGGAACACAGAACTACACTCCTCTGCAGAGATTCGGGGAAACCTAAAGCTGAACCTACCTGCAGCATTCAGGCAGAAGCCAGTTTGTTGTGCTGAAGGCAAGCAGGCATGACCACCTGGCTATGAGCAGCAGAGATGTGTGGAGTTGCCTGCTCTGCAAACGTGGTGCTTCCCATGGGAACATGGAGCTATCTCCATCAGAGTTCAAGCAGAAGCGAGGCTACTGTGCTGGAAGCTGGTGCCAAGCCTTGTCTGGCAAAGAGGTGTGGAGCAATCTTACTGCTCCTGGGCATCATGACTGTGGCCTCTATTGAGGCTATCGCATCTGGCACCAGGTTACTCTGGAGTCCAAGACCTGTGGATATCCCTGTGGACTCGAGTGTTGCCTCCGCAAAAACTCTGGGCACCTCTCTGTATCGTTCTAAGGCCTGAGGGGATGAGGAGGATTCTCCTGTTCCTAGGATTGCACAGGCTCCTGTGGGAAGTGTGGATTTCCTGAGGGCTGTCACTAGTTCACTGTTTTCCTATGTTGGGGAGATTCTTCTACCTCCATGATGATCCCAGATGAGCGGCTGCCCAGCTTCACTCTCCTCTAATCTCTGTGTCCTTTCACTCCCTTGATGGATCCTGACATAGTTTCTTAGACAATTGGCTTGAGGTTCAGTGTTTACTCACCACTTTGTTTCCTGTTTGTGAGAACGGCATACACTAGCTGCTTCTAGTCCACCATCTTGACTGGAAACTTTGGAAGGTTTTGAGATATAAATAATGAAATCTAATTTCACATACATAATTGCAAAATCATGAAAATATCTGTGTTGACATTCATTTCCAGCTTCATTGATTTATTTTGTGGGCTTTAATAATCTGCTATATTCCAAGCCCAAGAACTTTTGGTGTGGAGCAGTAATGCATAAGAATATTTTCCTCCTAACATACAGCCCTTGAGACATTACAAAGCCCCATAAATTGTGTTAGACATGAAAGGTAATAGCAAAGACACACTAAGACCTCATTTTATCCAAAAAAAAGTAAAAATAGTTATTACAATTCCTTATAATCCACAGGAAGAAATAGGCAGAAAGTTCTAAGAGGACAAAGTGATTTTTATTCAAATATTGAGGTCATGTGTTTAATATTTTTTTCTTTATAACACTCAAATATTTTATGTTAATTATAACACGTGTTTTCTGCCATCAATGGACATTGATTTTTAGTGAGTCAATATCCCATGACAGTGAACACAGTCTGCCTGGAATATTGAAATTATATTGTTAAGGTTGTTTTTTAAAATCAGCTTAGTAGAGAAGGCTAAACTCACATACATTATTTATACAAATAAAATAGAGAGGACAGATGTATTTAGTAAAGAAATTTCTTTTTAAAAGAAAAGGTATTATTAATTGTGAAATAAATAATTTTATACATGATTAAATTATTTATTATTAGTAACTTTCATTAATGTTTTTAAAGAAATAATATTTCTCCATTTTTATTTTTGTCACCTGGAATTTACTGAACACTTCCCCAAGCTTGGTATTGTTAGAGGTGCCAATAACGTAGCAGTTAGCAAAACTGACATCTTTCATTCTTTCTTGAAATTTACAATCTACAAAGGGTAAGTAGAAGCAAAAAAGTAACCCAATGAATGATAAAAATAATTTCAAATGATAATATATAATCAAAAGTAAAGTAAAAAGGATAACGGAATAGAGTGTGGTTGACAACTTGCCTCCTCTGCCTAGGAGATGTACAGTAGGTGATAACGCTTCATCTGAGGCTTAAATGTAGAAATGGATAAAACCATGTGATGATATAGACTCAGTGGTGGGATGTGATTTGATAGAGGAAGAATGACTAAAATAGTAATATTTACAATGATAATATTTAACCTACATTTCAGTTCTAAAATAAATGTCTAAGTATACAATCTAAGAAGTCAATGAAGCTTCTCAAAATGGTTAGCAACTCATTTGTATGTGTGTGTGTGTGTTTGTGTTTGTGTGTGTGTGTGTGTGTGTGTGTATGGAAAAGCAGAGGGAAGGGAGAGAAAGAGAAAAAGGACAGAAAAGGGAGAGGGAGAAAAAAGGAAAGAGCATAAAAGAGACGCTGACATGTATAAATTCACATTCTGGTGTTTCTACACCTTACTGCATTTGATCATTGATGAAATTCAAGACCCAGCTCAGTTTAATAACTGTTATCATAATAGAATGCTTCCTAAGCAATATTTTCCAAAACAAGATGTGACTAAAAAATGGTTAAATATTTAGACCCAGTTCAGTTATCCATTATTTTTATATTTCTAGTTAATGTAGCTTTATAGCTAAATCTGTTAAATGTGCTAATTTGTTAAAATAGTTAATATAATCTTTTAATAGTTTAATTTATCAATAAATGTTTCTGACAGAAACATGGTAAGTTTAAGTTTAACATTCACTTTGTACTATTCATATGATTATTTGTTTTCTATCAAGCGTTACTGTTGTTTGCTTTGACAGAAAACTGGGAAAGGCAGAGAGGTGATAATACTTGGAGAATTTAAGCATGCCATCTGTTTGGATGAAGATGCAAATAATCGCAAACATTGGGGGCTTCAACACTCTAGGCAAAATTGGATTCATATTTATTTTCTTTTTGGAAAAATAACACTTTTTTGTATTATTTTATAATGAGTTAACTTAGTAACAATTTTTTTGAAAGAAATTGTTATTCTATTCTGGCAAAAGGTATATATCTCCAGCACATGTGCAAATATATTTGATAAACCATTTTTCCTAAGAAATATGACAATTTGTTCAGCTATACTTGAATAAAAAATGCCAAAATATAACCTGCTAAGTTGAGAGACTTAATTAAGGAAAATTTATACCATTTTAATTGCTTCTCATCTCATATTATTTTTATCTTAATTAATTACCGGTGCTTTGGGCAAAATAATAAGAACTAAAGTGAGTGGAATAAGAATTAATCAAATTACTTGCTTGTTACTCTTGTAAATTATATTTGGGAGAGGAAAATAAATCCTTTGGCTAGCCTCAGGTTTGAAGTTATGTTTCAATAACTGGTACCATTCTTAGCTCAGTTTTTATCAATGATCAAGTATAAATCATTTTTTAATAGGTGAATGTTAACTGACCGAATTCTGCCACCTTTATTGGTTATGGGAAGAGCACTTTATGGAAGACACTTAAAACCATTTTAGTTAGGGCTTTAATCTATTTTCCATCGAAGTTGACCAGTGTGAGTTTAATTATTTTTCCACTTCTCTTCCTGATGAAGGAATGATCAAAAACAAAAGAAATATAAGTGATATAAATAATTTGCAATTAAGTTCAGGTATTTTTATGATTATTTCATATGTTGTAATATTCTCTAATCAATGTGAGATGGCTGAAACTATGACATCCTTTGTCCTTTATAGATTTCATAGTTTGTATGAAAATAAGATAGCACAATCTGTAAATTTAATAAAGTTAAAGGCTGTCATAGACAGCAATTTAACATATGAGAAAATGTAAACTTAAAATGAAGGTAGCTCTTTCTTGATGGTCAATAACCTATTAATTGAATTTATAATTTCAGAAGATTTTTTTCTCCAAAAAGAAGTTAAATAAACTTGTTTAATCAACAGTCCCAAAGAATTCCATCTTGCTTTCTGTAGAGCAGATGGCTGTACCACTGCTTCTGTTGCCACCTTGTCCTCTAGCAGCTGCGATTACTAGAAAAAAATTTCCTTTATTACTTACATGATGTGCCCATAACTGCAATCAAACATTTAAAAAAGTTACTCATTGGATCCTCTAAAAAGGGAGAAGTACACACAATTTTGAAATTAAGCACACCTATATTTCCAAAGTTTCCATGGACAATCCTAAAATTTGGGTAAGAGATCGATGAATTTTTCACTTTTATTTAATCTCATCTCTCTCACTCCTAGCCTGTTGTGCACATGGTTTCTACCACAGATACAATGCTATGTTATTTATTTCTTTAAAAGTCTTGCTTCAATCGAAAAGTAGGTGTGAAATTAACACAGCATAACAAGGAAGATCGTTGGTAGCTGGGTATAAATGTCCATATAAATATTTATTCTATCATACTTTAACAATTCATTTCAGTTATACTCAAACCTGTTTATTAGATGTGTCTTATTTATTCAATAAATCAAGCTTGTTCAGTTAGAAGAATTAGGTATTACACATTTGTATCTTAATTTTGTCCTGCTGTCATTTAAAATAAAATTGAATTTAAAAATTTTGATGGGGGGGCCTATATCCCAATAAATATTGGGATATAAATATAAAAATAATTGGGATAAAAAAATTGGGATAAAAATATTTAAAAAATTTGTATATAAATATAAATTCAGATTTAATATAAAACATATATATTTTAGTTTGAGCACTTTTCTTTTACATAGACCAATACTCAGGTTATATGACTGGGAAATGTCCCTGTTAATTATGCTGCTTTCTTACTTTTATTCTCCACAGTTTATAGCAAGAATCATATTAAAACAATTTAGAAAATACTTCTACTGACCTGAAATTCTGATTTAGCCTATAATGAATACAGACATTTTAAATATTTATTATAACTGAGCTATAAATCTATAACTAGACCTTCATGTTTCCTCAAAGTGGCCTTAAAATAAAACCAGTTGCAAACAAGGCAAAAGCTACAGATTATGTATGTATTTACATATAAGTACATTTATATGTTTTATACTTTTTACATATATTAAATATGTATATATAAATATACAAGATTTCTTTCATATTTCAGATAAAAGAATAAAATAAATTCCTGAGGACCTGAATTGCAAAAGAAGTTTAAAGCCAAGGCAGTGAAAAAGAGTTGAAGTAGCTATTACCTTTGCTGCTGTTTATATCCCTATGAATGCTTTCTAATCAGTGAGGGAAGGACAAAAATTGCACTCATTAGATAACAAAGGTAGCTGCTCCAGGACTTATAAAGTATAAGAAATTACTAATAGCAAACAATACATTCTCTTAGGGACCACTCAGAAGCCAATAATCAGAGAGAATCATCCTGGAAAAAATATATTACAGAATGTAATCAAGAAATATACAAAAATGTAAAATAAAATAGCATGAATATAAACATGGAGATATAAATGTAAACATGGAAAGAAAAGTAATAGATGAGACAGCTTGGTGAAAAGAGCTCAAACGCAACAAAACACGTTAGGCATAGAGATAGGAAATTTTAAGAAGTCAGTTGGGGCACTTGACAAATAAAAACCCTGTGAGTGATTAAAGATAGATAGATAGATACAGATGGATATTTAGACGTGTATTCTAAAAGACCACATATGTGTGTGTATAACTATGTTTTAAAATATTTTAAAAAATAAATAAAATAATAAATTTTCCATTTCTCAATTATTTGCTTCTAGAATGAGATATATATATATATATTCAATTCTAGAATATTCTTCAAAACTATATATGTGTGTATATATATACACACACATATTCACATATATATACACACGTGTGTGTGTATATATACATAGTGCTGAAGAATATTCTAGGATTGAAAAGACATTCAGATTGAAAAGAGTAAGCAAACAAGACCAAAAAATACAAAAATGCAGAATATTACAAAGAAAAAAGTATCCACAGAATAGAATTACAAAGCATATATTTTTAATGGAATAATAGAAAATAGACCTACAAAAGGCTAATCAGTAGCAATAGAGGGAAATGCCCAAGAACTAAGAGTGAAATATTGTTTAGAATACTTTACCTAGCTGTTCTTACTAAAGACCTTATTATATAACTATTTTAATAGGAAATTCAGGAAAGAAAAATGTTAAATTCAGAAGGAAAAAAACTGAACACAAGACTCAAAGATGGACGTAGTAACTGACAACACTTTGTAGGCAAAGAAAATTGGAATTAGTATTAAAATTGAATGGGTAGAAAATAAGATATAGCTAAAACCTGAGATTTCAAGTATGTGAACAAGAAGAAAGGAGACACCAGAGGAAAGTTAAAGTGTTCTAAATTTCTAGTTAGATTGGGGAAGTAACAGTCAGATTCAGAATTTCATAAGATAACATTGAGTTAAATACATAGCAAGAAATATATGAAGTCCAGGAAAATTACTAAGATTCAAAGAAATAAGGAGGCCAAAGTAAATGAATGGAAGTCCTAACTTAGAAATTAGTGGAATTATCATTTTATTTCCTGATGGAATCATTGCTCCCTTTGAAACTAAGCAGGGCATAAGATCCTGGAGAAAGGAAGCAACATTTTTCAATAATCACCAATGGTAATGGTGTTTAATCTCCACATGTTAATTTTTATGCCTATGAATCTGGGCTTTAGGAGTAACAGCGCCATGTATGGGAAGTTGATTTATAGCATATAAAGGTTCCTGGAGGACATTATTACAGCACTATACAGTATTACCACCTAAATGGCAACTGGTGAGTCTTCCAAAGAATATTCTATCATTCTCTCAAGCCAGCTGTTTCAGTATGTTGGGTAACAAAATGAGATCAATAAATACCAGGATCCTAGGCCTATTGCCACACTTTGCTGTGAATTGATATCCTTGGTCAGAAGCAATGTTTTCTCAAACATGATGCATGCTAAAGAATTATGTAATTGGGGAAAATCAGACACAAGCTCTTATCATGTGAGTGGCTGGCCTGCAATGAAAGATGCATGCTCACTCTCCTCAGGTGTCTACTGTTAAAGTGAGGGCATTAATTGGAAAAGAATGGAACCCTAAAACTTGGAATGGGGACATGTGGGAGTGAGAGACAGCTGGATTTCCTAGGCCGACTAAGAATCCCTAAGCCTAGCTGGGAAGGTGACCGCATCCACCTTTAAACACAGGGCTTGCAACTTAGCTCACACCCAACCAATCAGAGAGCTCACTAAAATGCTAATTAGGCAAAAACAGGAGGTAAAGAAATAGCAAGTCATCTATTGCCTGAGAGCACAGTGGGAGGGACAAGGACCAGGATATAAACCCAGGCATTTGAGCCAGCAACGGCAACCTCCTTTGAGTCCCCTCCCTTTGTATAGGAGCTCTGTTTTCACTGTGTTTCACTCTATTAAATCTTGCAATTGCACTCTTCTGGTCCATATTTGTCACGGCTTGAGCTGAGCTTTCACTTGCCGTCCACCACTACTGTTTGCTGCTGTCACAGACCCGCCGCTGACTCCCATCCCGCTGCTGACTCCCATCCCTCCGGATCCGGCAGGGTGTCCGCTGTGCTCCTGATCCAGCAAGACTCCCATTGCCACTCCCGATAGTGCTAAAGGCTTGCCATTGTTCCTGCATGGCTAAGTGCCTGGGTTCGTCCTAATCCAGCTGAACACTAGTCACTGGGTTCCACGGTTCTCTTCCATGACCCGCGGCTTCTAATAGAGCTATAACACTCACCACATGGCCCAATATTCCATTCCTTGGAATCCGTGAGGCCAAGAACCCCAGGTCAGAGAACACGAGGCTTGCCACCATCTTGGAAGCAGCCTGCCACCATCTTGGAAGTGGCTCACCACCGTCTTGGGAGTTCTGTGAACAAGGACCCCTGGTAACATTTTGGCGACCACGAAGGGACATCCAAAGCTGTGAGTAATATTGGACCACTTTCGCTTGCTATTCTGTTCTATCCTTAGAACTGGAGGAAAATACTGGGCACCTGTCGCCAGTTAAAAATGATTAGCATGGCCGCCGGACTTAAGACTCAGGTGTGAGGCTATCTGGGAAAGGGCTTTCTAACAACCCCCAAGCCTTCTGTTGGGAACTTTGGTCTGCCTGGAGCCAGCTTCCACTTTCAATTTTCTTGGGGAAGCCAAGGGCTGACTGGAGGCAGAAAGCTGTTGTCCCGAACTCCCGGCAGTAGCCGGTTGAGATCATGGCGCAGCCAGAAGTCTCTACTCGGCAGTCGCCCATGCGTGCGCCCTTACCTTTCCTTCTGAATTATACCTCCGGGGTCCCGACTCCGACTTTCTTGAGAGTTTAGCCCCAAAATTCTCCTTACCTCTGAATCTACTTCCTTTGATCCCTGCCTCCTGCCTCCTAGGTACTAATAGTTCAGACTTTCATTTCCTCTAGCAAGTTGTGTCTCCAAAGGGATCTAAGGAGGCTCTATGCTGTGTCCTTAGGCACCTAGGCTATAACCCAGGGAGTCTTATCCCTGGTATCCCTCCCGATTTAGGTATACAGCTCTTGACATGGGCAGTTATGTGGGACCTGTTCCCCACCACCCTTGTGAGGGCCCCAAGTTTGTAATGGCTAAGAAAGAGAGACGGAGAGAGAGAGAGACGGAGAAAGAGACAAAGAGGGAGTCAAAGAGAAAAAGAAAGAAAAAGATAGAAATAGTTAAAAAAAAAAAAAAGTGTGCCCTATTCCTTTAAAAGCCAGGGTAAATTTAAAACCTGTAATTGATAATTGCCACTTTGTTGTCAGTGTAAATAAGGGCGTAGCAAATCCTTAACCCAGTAACCCGCGGATAGGCCAAATGCATTCAGTCGGTAGCGGCAACAGCTTTGCTAAAAGTAGAAAAGTAACTTTTAGAGGAAACCTCATTGTGAGCACACCTCACCAGTTCAGAGTTATTCTAAGTAAAAAAAAAAAAAAAAAAAAAAGCAAAAAGGTAGCTTACTAACTCAATAATCTTAAAGTATGGGGCTACTATGCTAGAAAAGGGTAATGTAACTCCAACCACTGATAACTCCCTTAACCCAGCAGATTTCCTAACAGGGGATTTAAATCTTAATTACCACACGAAGGTCCGACCAGACCTAGGAGGAACTCCCTTCAGCACAGGACGATAGATGGTTCCTCCCAGGTGACTGAGGAAAAAACTACAATGGGTATTCAGTAATTGGTATGGAGACTCTTGTGGAAGCAGAGTTAAAAATTTGCCTAATAATTGGTCTCCTCAAATGTGCGAGCTGTTTGCACTCAGCCAAGCCTTAAAGTACTTACAGAATCAAAAGACTATCTCAATCCTGACTCAAAAGGTTAGCTACACAGTCTCTGAAATGAATTTGCAGAAGAACTGTTGTTTATGGGAATGCATCTTGATGGGGCAGCTGGGTTGTTATGAAATACTCAGGAACCCAGCCCAGCTCTAGGACTCACCGCTGAGCGCAAAGGCAATGTTGGGCACGCTGGTAAAGGACCACTAGAATCCAGCAGCCCAGGCCCCTTTCTTTGTGGTCAAGAAAGGCAGGAAAAGGAGTGCAGAACTGCTACATTGGTGAGCGTAACTAATCCAATAAGCAGAGGTCCATGAGTGGTTATGCACGCTGGAAAAGAATAAGCATTAGGCCCTTAGAGGATGCTCTAGGACTAATGCTCATCGGAAAATGACTAGGGGTGCTGGCATCCTTATGTTCTTTCTTCAGATGGGAAACGTTCCCCCCAAGGCAAAAGCGCCCCTAAGATGTATTCTGGAGAATTAGAACCAATTTGACCCTCAGATGTCAAGAAAGAAACGACTTATATTCTTCTGCAGTACTGCCTGGCCACGATATCCTCTTCAAGGGGGAGAAACCTGGCCTCCTGAGGGAAGTACAAATTATAACACCATCTTACAGCTAGACCTCTTTTGTAGAAAAGAAGGCAAATGGAGTGAAGTGCCATATGTGCAAACTTTCTTTTCATTAAGAGACAACTCACAATTATGTAAAAAGTGTGGTTTATGTCTTACAGGAAGCCCTCAGAGTCTACCTCCCTATCCCAGCATTCCCCCGACTCCTTCCCCAACTAATAAGCACCACCCTTGAACCCAAACAGTCCAAAAGGAGATAGACAAACAGGTAAACAATGAACCAAAGAGTGTCAGTATTCCCCGATTATGCCCCTTCCAAGCAGTGGGAGGAGGAGAATTCGGCCCAGCCAGAGTGCATGTACCTTTTTCTCTCTCAGACTTAACGCAAATTAAAATAGACTTAGGTAAATTCTCAGATAACCCTGATGGCTACATTGATGTTTTACAAGGGTTAGGGCAATCCTTTGATCTGACATGGAGAGATATAATGTTACTGCTAAATCAGACACTAACCCCAAATGAGAGAAGTGCCGCCGTAACTGCAGCCCGAGAGTTTGGTGATCTCTGGTATCTCAGTCAGGTCAATGATAGGATGACAACAGAGAAAAGAGAACGATTCCCCACAGGCCAGCAGGCAGTTTCCAGTGTAGACCCTCATTAGGACACAGAATCAGAACATGGAGATTGGTGCCACAGATATTTGCTAACTTGAGTGCTAGAAGGACTAAGGAAAACTAGGAAGAAGCCTATGAATTATTCAGTGATGTCCACTATAACACAAGGAAAGGAAGAAAATCCTACTGCCTTTCTGGAGAGAGTAAGGGAGGCATTAAGGAAGCATACCTCCCTGTCACCTGACTCTATTGAAGGCCAACTAATCTTAAAGGATAAGTTTGTCACTCAGTTAGCTGCAGACATTAGAAAAAAACTTCAAAAGTCCGACTTAGGCCTGGAGTACGGCTGAGTGCCCAATTTGGCAGCAGGCAAGACCAACACTGAGCCCTTCATATGGCACCATGCTTTGTGGTGATCAGCCAACTACTTGATGGCAGGTTGATTATATTGGACATCTTTCATCAGAGAAATGGCAGTGGTTTGTCCTTCCTGGAATAGACACTTATTCTCGATATGGGTTTGTCTATCCTGCAGGCAATGCTTCTGCCAGGAGTACCATCTGTGGACTCATGGAAAGCCTTATCCACCATCATGGCATTCCACACAGCATTGCCTCTAAACAAGGCACTTATTTTATAGCTAAGGAAGTGTGGCAGTGGGCTCATGCTCATGGAATTCACTGATTGTATCTTGTTGCCCATTATCTTAAAGCAGCTGGATTGATAGAACAGTGGAAAGGCCATTTGAAATCACAATTACACCACCAACTAGGTGACAATACTTTGCAGGGCTCGGCAAAGTTCTCTTGAAGGCTGAGTATGTCCTGAATCAGCATCCAATATATGGTACTGTTTCCCTCATAGCCAGCATTCACAGGCCTAAGAATCAAGGGGTAGAAGTAGAAGTGGCACCACTCACCATCACTCCTAGTGACCCACTAGCAAAAATTTTACTTCCAGTTCCCCCAACATTATGTTCTGCTGGCCTTAGTTCCAGAGGGAAGAATTCTGCCACCAGTCGACACAAGAATGATACCATTAAACTGAAAGTTAAAATTGCCACCTGGCCACTTTGGGCTCCTCCCACCTCTAAGTCAACAGGTCAAGAAAGGAGTTACAGTGTTGACTTGGGTGATTGACCTGGACTATCAAGATGAAATCAGGTTACTACTCCACAGTGGAGGTAAGGAAGAATATGTGTGGAATACAGGAGATCCCTTAGGCCGTCTTTTAGTACTACCATGCCCTGTGATTAAGGTCAGTGGAAAACTACAACAATCCAATCTAGGCAGGACTACAAATGGCCCAGACTCTTCAGGAATGAAGGGTTGGGTGACTTCACCAGGTAAAAAAATAACAGCCTGCTGAGGTGCTAGCTGAAGGCAAAGGGAATACAGAATGGTTAGTAGAAAAAGGTAGTCATCAATACCAGCTATGACCACAAGACCAGTTGCAGAAATGAGACCTGTAATTGTCATGTGGATTTCCTCCTTACATGTTTGTGCATGTATACACTTCTACTAAGAAAATACCTTTATTTATTTCCTTTGCTTTTCCCTTATCAAGTGACATTATTAACTTCATATCAGCAGTTAAGTGTTATTAACTTTATGTAATAGCATTTCGGTTAATAATTCACTTCTGGTTGTATGAAGGATAGCCGTATTAAGTTAGGTGTAATTATGACATCATTATTGTCTTTATTTGAAGATTATGTGTAATTTCAGGAGATGTGTATGGGTTCAAGTTGACAAGGGATGGACTTGTGATGGCTAATGTTGAGTGTCAACTTGACTGAGGATGCAAAGTATTGTTCCTGGGTGTGTCTGTGAGGGTGTTGCCAAAGGAGATTAACATTTGTGTCAGTGAACTGGGAGATGCAGACCCACCCGCAATCTGGGTGAGCACCATGTAATCAGCTGCCAGAGCAGCTAGAATAAAGCAAGCAGAAGAAGGTGGAAGGAGCTGACTTGCTGAGTCTTCTAGTATTCTTCGTTCTTCTATGCTGGTTGCTTCCTGCCCCCAAACATCAGTCTGCAAGTTCTTCTGCTTTTGGACTCTTGGACTTACACCAGTGGTTTGCCAGGGACTCTCGGGCCTTCTTTTCTAGCTGTAAATCAACAGACAGTAGATTTGACAGAAGCATTCCATGAAAGGAAAGCAAATCTATATTCAGGTGAATATCTAGTTCAGTAAAAACAAAGCACTGCCCTTTCATGATGGAAGTCATGCAGTGCAATAGACCTGCTACCAAGTAGCTGGCTGATTGCACCAGGGAATACTCTCATATCAGGGAATCAGCGGTGGTCTCTGATTCTTGTAGAATGAACACTTAGCAATGGCTATAGTCAGGTCAGCCGTGATGAGTGGAACTCTATTTTGCTGAGCCCATTCATAACCTCCATTTTTACTAACATGGCCACTTTGTTCATGAGTCCTCTTGGTAATGATAGGAGTTGCTGGGGAAAGAGGCTGACTTGTACACAAAGTATGGGTCTTTCTGTCCACTTGGTTATTAAAGTCCCTCTCTGCTGAGATCACTGTTTGGTGGACATTCACATGGCACAAAAACATTTACATCATACCATTTTGGAAGTAGGATCTTTTCAGATGTAATCAAGTTAAGATGAGCCTGCACTAGATTAAGGTCAACCCTAGTCTAATCACTGGAGTCTCAATAAGAAAAAAAAAAAGAGACACAGAGGCAAACAGAGGGAAGAAAAACACGCGACAATGGAAACAAAGACTGGAGTTATGCAGCTGCAAGCCAAGGAATGCTATGGATTGGCAGCAACTGTCAGATGCTGGAAAAAGGCAAGGAAGTATCTTCCCCTAGAACCGTCAGAGAGAACATGAGCCTGCCAACACCTTTATTAGACTTCTAATCTCCAGAATTGTAAATAAATATATTTCTGTTGTTTTAAGTCATCCATTTTGTGGTATTTTTTTATAGCAGCCTTAGAAAACTAATACAGCTAAAATCTTACATTAAAAACTTTCCTCATTAAGTCTTTATTTATCCTAAAATACATACCATATTTTGTTCAATGCATTTGTGATGGATTTGTCTTCAAGCTTCTTCTAGTCTCCACTTGTCTATTTCAGTAGAGCTACCACATATATATTTATGTTATTAAATATATTAGAATTTTTAAAACCAGATTTTCAAAACTGAGATTACTTGGTCAGAGAAAATACATCTATAATTTCACTATATATTAATAAATACTCCTAAATAAAAATGTCATCATTCATTTTTTATATGTACAAGTGATATATGAGAGTGCCGATTTTCCCACAACTATCTATAGGACTTGTCAAGCTTCTGAATTTTTGATAAATGGGAAATTGCATCCTTGTTAATTGTGGATATGCATTTTCTTATCATGAGTGTTACTGAACATTTTCTCCATAGACAACAATAATTTGCATTGATTTACTTGAGAACTAATGGTTTATAAATTCCAAAGATTTTTTAATAATGACAGTATTTCTTTCCTAAATTTTTAGTAGTTCTTTATATATTCAGATATTAGTGGTGTGCATATGATACAATTAGACTATTTTTTGTTTCCTATTGTGTTGTTTTGTTTGTGTTTTGATTTTTTTTTAATTTTAGGTTCAAGTGGTACATGTGCAGGTTTGTTACATGGGTAGATTGTGTGATGCTGAGGTTTGGACTTCTAATGATTCTGTAGCTCAATGAGTGAGTGAACATAGTGCCTGATAGGTAGTTTTTCAACCCTGTTCCCGCGCCCTCCTTCCCCTCTTCTTAAATCCCCAGTGTCTAATGTTCCCATCTCTGTGTCCATGTGCACCAATGATTAGCTCCCACGTATAACTGGGACCATGCATTATTTGGTTTTATGTTTCTGCATTAATTCACTTCAGATAAGGACTTCCAGCTGCATCTGTGTAATTGCAAAACATGACTTCATACTCTTATGGCTGTGTAATATTCCATGGTATATATGTACCACATTTTCTTTATTCAATCCACCATCAATGGATACCTAGGTTGATTCCATGTCTGCTATTTTGAATAGTGCTATGATAATCATGCCAGTGCAGGTGTTTGGTTTTGTTGGGGGTGCATTTGATAGAACAATTTACTTTCCTTTGGGCATATAGAAAGTAATGGGATTGGTGGGCAAAATGGTAATTCTATTTTTAGTTCTTTGAGAAATTTTCAAACTGCTTTCCACAGGGACTGAGGTAATTTACAATCCCACCAACAGTATATAAGCATTCACCTTTTTCCATGCCTGGTCAAAACCTATTTTCATTTTTTTTACTTTTTAATAATAGCCATTCTGACTGGTGTGATAGAATCTCTCATTGTGGTTTTGATTTGTATTTCTCTGATTATTATTGAAGTTGAGCATTTTTCCATGTTTGTTGGTCCCTTGTGTAGTTTCTTTAGAAAAGTGTCTCTTCATGTTTTTTGGCCACTTTTTAATGAGGTTGCTTGTTTTTACTTGTTAATTTATGTTCCTTATAGATTTTAGATATTAGATCTTTTTTTAGATACATAGTGTGAAAGTATTTTCTCCCATTCTGTAGGTCATCTGTTTACCCCATTGATAGTTTCTCTTGCTGTGCAGAAGCTCTTTAGTTTCACTAAGTCCCAACTGTCAATTTTTGGTTTTGTTGCATTTGCATTTGAAGACTTCGTTATAAATACTTTGCCTAGACCAATGTTCAGAAGAGTATGTCTTAGGTTTCCTTCTAGGATTCTGACAGTTTGAGGTTTTACATTTAAGTCTTTAATCTATGTTGAGTTAATAGTTGTATATGATGAGAGGAAGGAGTCAAGTGTCATTCTTCTGAATATGGGTAGCAAGTTTTTCTGGCACCATTTATTGAATGGGCTATCTTTTCTCCATTGTTTATTTTTGTTGAGTTTGTCAAAGATAAGTTGATTGTATGTGTGTGGCTTTATTATGGCTTCTCTATTATGTTCCATTGGTCTATGTGTCTGTTTTTGAACAAGTACTATTCTGTTTTGGTTACTGTAGCTTTGTAGTTTAAATTCAGGTAATGTGAGGTCTCTGGCTTTGGTTCTTTTTGCTTAAGATTTCTTTGGCTGTAGGGCCCTTTTTTGATTCCATTTGAATTTTAGATTAGATTTTTCTAATTCTGTGAAAAATAATGTTGATAATCTGATAGGAATTTTGTTAAATCTAGTAGTTTGTTTTGGGTAGTATAAACATTTTAATGATATTGATTCTTTCAATTCATGAGTGTGGAATGTTTTCCATTTGTTTGTGTCATTTCTGATTTCTGTCATCAGTGTTTTCTAATTCTTCTTGTAGAAATCGTTCATCTCTTTGGTTAGCTATATTTCTATGTATTTTTTATGGCTATTTGAAATAGGATTGCATTCTTGACTTGACTCTCAGCTTGAACATTATTGGTGTATGGAAATGCTACTGATTTTTTTACATTGACTTTGTATCTTGAAACTTGACTGAAGACATGTATAAATTCTCAGAACCTTTTGGCAGAGCTTTTGTGGTTTTCTAAGTATGGAGTCATAGCATCAATGAAGAAATGTATTTTGACTAATTATTTTTCTATTAGAAGAAGTTGTATTTCTTTCTTTTGCCTGATCACTCTGGCTAGGTCTTCCAGTACTGTGATGAATATGAGTGGTGAGAGTGGACATCACTGGCTTGTTCAAGTTGTTAATAGAAATGCTTCCAACTTGTGCCCATTTAGTATGCTATTGGCTGTGGGTTTGTCATAGGTTGTACTTATTATTTTGAGATATGTTCTTTCAATTCTTAGTTTGTTGGGGGTTTTTATCATGAAGGAGCGGAGGAGCAGTGGATTTCATCAATTGCTTTATTGTTTGTCAAGATGATCATATGGTTTTTTGTTTTTAATTTTGTTTATATGGTGAATCAGATTTATTGATTTGCATATGTTGATCCAATCTCGCATCCCAGAAATAAAGCTCTCTTGATTTTGGTGGGTTATATTTTTGATGTTCCCTTGGGTTCGGTTTGCTAATATTTTGCTGAGGATTTTTGCATCTGTGTTCATCAAGGATATTATCTGTGGTATTCCTTGTTCTGTCTTTGCCAGATTTTGATATCAGGATGATACTGGTTTTGTAGAATGAGTCAAGGGGGAATCCCCTCCTCCATGATTTTTTTTTTCTTTTTAGAATAGTTTCACTAACATTGGGACCAGCTCTTCTTTATATACTAGGTAGAATTCCCTGAGAATCCATCTGGTCCAGAACATTTTTTATTTGGTAGGACTGTTTAATGCTGATGTAATTTTGTAAGTCATTATTGGTCTGCTAAGTATTTCTATTTTTTTTTTTCAATCTTGGAAGGTCATGTTATCAGAAATTTGTCAATTTCCTCTAAAGTGTCTAACTTTTGTGCATAAAGATTGATTATTTTAACCCTTGAACGTCTTTTGTCATTTCCATGGGATCAGTTGTAATATCACCTTTGTCATTTCTGATTGTGTTTATTTGGATTTTCTCTTTCTTTTGCATTGTTAATCTAGCTAGCATTCTGTCATTCTTATTAATCCTTTCAAGGGAACAACTTTTTTTTTCCTTTGGTATGTTGTCTTTTCTGGTGTGAATTTTATTTGGTCTGCCCTGGTTTTAATCACTTATTTTCTTCTCTAGGTTTGCATTTAGTTCACTCTTGTTTTTCTAGTTCTTTTAGGTTTGACATCAGATTGTTAACTTGATATCTTCTTATCTTTTCGGGGTAAGTGTTTAGTGCTGCAAACATTCCTCTTTTTTTTTTTTTTTTTTTTGAGACGGAGTCTTGCTCTGTTGCCCAGGCTGGAGTGCAGTGGCATGATCTCGGCTCACTGCAAACTCCACCTCCCGGGTTCATGCCATTCTCCTGCCTCAGCCTCCTGAGTAGCTGGGACTACAGGCACCCACCACCACGCCCGGCTAATTTTTTGTATTTTTAGTAGAGACGGGGGTTTCACCGTGTTCGCCAGGATGGTCTTGATCTCCTGACCTTGTGATCCGCCCGCCTCAGCCTCCCAGAGTGCTGGGATTACAGGCGTGAGCCACCGTGCCTGGCTGCAAACATTCCTCTTAACACTGCTTTTGCTGCATTCCAGAGATTTATTATGTTGTGTTATTTTCATGTTTTTAAATAAATTTTTGATTTGTTCCTTAATTTCATTGTTTTCCTGAAAATTGTTAAGGAGCAAGTCATTTAGTTTACACACACTTGTGTAGTTTTGAGAGTTTCCCTTGGGATTCATTTCTATTTTTATTCCACTATGGTTTGAGAAGGGGCTTGGTATATTTTCATTTAAAAAAAAATGTGTTCAGACTTGCTTTATGCATGTGGTAAATTTTAGAGTATGTTCATTCTGTAGATGAGAAGAACGTATATTCTTCGGATGTTGGATGGAGTATTCTGTAGCTGTCTAGTATGTCCAGTTGGTAAAGTGTTGAATTTAAGTCCAGAATTTCTTTGTTAGTTTTATCCCATAATGATCTGTCTAATGCTGTCAATGGAGTGTTGAAGTACATTATTATTGTGTGTCAAAATCTTTTCTTAGATCTAGAAGTAATTATTTTATAAATCTAGTTGTTCCAATGTTGAGGGAATATATACTTAGGATAGTTGAGTCTTCATGTTAAATTGAATGTTTTATCATTATGGAATGACTTTCGTTGTTGTTGTTGTTTTTGTTGTTGTTTACCATTGCTGGCTTAAAGGCTGTTTTATCTGACACAAGAATAGTGACCCCTTCCTTTTTTGTGTTTTTTGTTTCTGTGATAGATTTTTTTTTTTTTTTTTTGAGATGGAGTTTTGCTCTTTTTGCCCAGGCTGGAGTGCAATGGTACTGTTTCAGCTCACTGTAACTTCCACTGCCGGGTTCAAGTGATTCTCCTACCTCAGCCTCCTGAATAGCTGGGGTTACAAGTACCCGCCACCACGCTTGGCTAGTATGTTTTTAGTAAAGATGGGGTTTCATCATGTTGGCCAGGCTGGCCTCAAACTCTTGACCTCCGGTGATCCACCCACCTTGACCTCTCAAAGTGCTGGGATTACAGGCATGAGCCACCACAACCAGCCGATAGATCATTTTTCATCACTTTACTTTGACACTATGGGCATCATTACATGTGAGATGGTTGTCTTGAAGACTGCATAAGATTAAGTCTTGTTTTTTAATCCAATATTCCACTTTTTGATTTTAAGTGGCATCTTTAGACTATTTTCTTTCAAGGTTAAAAATGATGTGAAATTTTGTTCCTGTGTGGTTTTGTTAGCCTGTTGCTTGTAGTCTTGATTGTTTAGTTGCTTTATAGGGTCTGTGGGCTATGTACTTAGCGTGTTTTTGTTGTCGTTGATGTCGTAGCCAGTATCATTGTTTTTCATTTCCATATTCGGAACCCCCTTAAATGTGTCTTATAAGGCCAGTCTGGTGGCACTGAATTCCACTAGCAATTGCTTGTCTAGAAAAGATTTTATTTCTCCTTTGCTTGTGCTTGTTTGTTGGGGTATAAAATTCTTGGATGGATTTTTTTTTTAAGGATGCTGAAAAACACAAGCCCACAGTATCTATTGGCTTGTAAATCTTCTTCAGAGAAATTGCTGTTAGTCTGATGGGATTCCCTTAATAGGTAATATGGCCCTTTTCTCTGGCTACCTTTAATTTTTTTTTGTATTGACCTTGGGTAGTCTGATGACTATATAACTCAGAGATGATCATCTTGTATAGTATCTTTCAAAGTTATCTGAATTTCTTGTATCTGTATGTCAACCTCTCTAGTGAGATTGGGAACATTTTCATGAATTGTATCTTCAAATATATTTTCCAAGTTACCTACTTTCTCTTCTTCTCTCTCAGAAAAACCAATGGGTTGTAGGTCTGGTCACTTTAGATAATCCCACCTTTTGCAGAGGCCTTGTTCATTTTTTAAAAATCTTTTTTTCTTTATTTTTGTCTGACTAGGTTGATTCAAAGTACCCATCTTTAAGCTTCAAAATTCTTTACTCAGCTTGGTCTAGTCTGTTGTTAAGACTTTTAACTGTGTTTTGAAATTCTTATAGTAATTTTTTTTTTAATTTCAGAAGTTCAGTTTTCTTCTTTTTAAATGTGGCTATCTTGGCTTTCAAGTCTTGGATAATTTTTCTGGCTTCCCTTGGATTGACTTCCAATCTTCTCTTGGATCTTTATGAGTTTCCTTGCCATCCAGATTCTGAGTTCTATATCTGCCATTTTAGATATTTCAATCTGGTAAGATTTATTGGCAGGGAGCTAGTGTGATCTTTGGGAGCAACAAAACACTCTGGCTTTTTGTATTGCTAATATTCTTGAGCTATTTCCTTTTCATTGTATTGCTAATATTCTTGAGCTATTTCCTTTTCATCTGAGGAAGCTGACACTTCCTTTCTCTTTTTGAAATTGCTGTCATTTGGATGAAGCTTTTTGAATTTTTATTCTTTTTTCCCTTTATAGCCTGATTGTGATGTATGTTGTATGGAATTTATTAGCTTTGTTTCTGGGTGCTTTCAGGGAGCCAAAGCTCTGTACAGGTTCCTTGATTGTAGATAGATTCCTGTTATAGGTTTCATAGGCATTGTATGTTGTAGCAAATTATTTTTGTTTGGTGGTGTAATTCAGACTGCAGTCTGGTAGATGGTGCTTAAGAGTGAGGGCCAACACACAGGCTCTCACTCAGCCATGCTTACACTTTTTGTATTTCAGTGCATCTGCAACAGTGCTCTGGGGAGGAGACAAAAGAGGACAAGAGAAGACTCGCTCTCCAAGTCCATTTCTGGGCTTTCATTGTATTCTCTTCATTGCTGGCACTATGCCAGTGTTTCCTTTCCCCCAAAGGGGGCTTTAGCAGGCTGTACTTCCCTCTGCTGTAGGGGTGGTACACACTGAGGGTTAGGTCCCCAGGAGATCTCTGACTCCCCAGAAATCTACCAGTCCCTCGTGCTTGCCAAAGTCAGAGTGGGTTTTGGGGTATGTTTGCTAGTGGTCTCGTGATGCAGTGGCTCTAGGGCAGGGGATCCCAAGGCTGGGCATAGGCACTGTGGATGTTCAACCAGTATGATACCCATAGCCCAGTGTTTTCAGCCCACAGACAGATGTGGGGCCTGCCCAGCTCACACACTCTGAACCCAGGGGCTCTACTAACAGTGTCTGCCCCGGGAACATTCCCAATAAGTTAGGCTTGTCCCAGGCCATCTGTGCCCAGATTTCTGAGCCATTCCAGACATTCTGGGCTGTGGCTTCCCAGGGAGAGAAGCCACAGCTATCAAGCCCTATCCATCCCAGTCTGGTCTTGCAAAAGCAGTGCTGCCCATCTCCCGTGCTGGCACACAGAGTTCTGACAGTGAGATTTCTTCTCCTACTTGAGCTCAAGGCATACGTTTTTGCTTGATAACCCAAGCTGGTGTGCTTGAGTACTGGGGAGTTGAGACTTGGCCCACAGTTTTGTCCTCTGTCCCCTTAAAGTCAAGCACCATCCATAATTGGGGGATGAACTGATCTTAGGCTGCCAGTAAAACATCCAAGTGGGGCAGTGTAGGCTGTGCTGTGAGCTGGCAGGCAAAGGGGTGCAGGGATCAGAAGCACCTCAGTCCCATAGCGATGGTGGCCCTGCTCTCTCTTAGCTTGGCAGAGAGCAGGAGCTGCGCCCGCTCAGTGAAAGATGGAGTGAAAGATGGGTATGGGTGCCTATTGCATTTCACTGCAGTTAAACAGTGAAGCCTTCTAGGCTGTGCGTAGATTCAAGCTTGCCTCTACTTGTTCTCCAGGTGGCTCCTTCTGCCAGTCCAAAGGACTATGGGTGTCTGGGAATTTCTGTCACTAGGATCTCAGAGGTCCATAGTGGGAATGTAGTGTCCTAGGGTTTTTTCACTCTAGGTCTAGTCTGGGTCCAGGGACCAGTCCTGGCACCCAATGGCTCCATGCAGGCTTCCCAGCTTCCTCCCTGTTAAACTGCAGTGCCTGTCACCTCTCTATTGATTTCTGATTTTTCCTCTTTAAAGATCCATTCAAAATGTAATGGTTTACTGGATATTTTGTCTCTTCTCTGTGGAAAAGGCATTTCCCAGCTGTGTCTAGTTGGCTATCTTTCCAGCCCTTCAATTTTGTCTGAGATTTGTCTAGAGTAAACCAGTATCTTTAATGCAGCAATACTAGCTATTTTCATATAATAAAATGTATAATAATAGGTAATATTTTGCTATATAATGTCAAAATATATTTTGATCTTCAAAACTGTAAATTGTATGTTCAATTTAATACACTTATTTGATAGGAGCACCTTTTTAATATAAATCTTTAGAAAACCATTTATCTTTGAAATAAATTTTGAAAATTCTTAGCTAGAGGGTTTTTTGATTGTTTTTTATTTTCTCTGTTTGCTTTTATATATATATCTCAGGTCTTCTTAATAAACAGAAAATGAGAAAATCGATAGCTTTATATTAGATTTCTTTGTCTGCTTTAACAAATCACCGTATATTTCATGGCTTAAATCAAAACAAATTTATTATCTTGCATTTCTATAGCATAGAAGTTCAACAGAAGTCTTGCTGGCCTAAAGGCAAATTTGGGACATTCCTTTCTGGAGGCTTTTGGGGAAAATCTATGTTTCTGCCTTTTCCAGCTTCTAAGAGTTTCCAATATTCCTTGGCGTGTGGCCCTTTTACTCCATCTTTAAAACCAGCTGTGTTGCATCTCTCTGACCATAGTTCATAATCACATCTTCCACCTACCAGAGTTGGGAAAGTTTCTTTACTCACATGAACTTATGTGATTATTTTGAGCCCATATAGAAAATTCAGAATAATCTCCTCGTCTACAAGACAAAATTTTATCTTCATACTTAATGTATTTATTTAATTTAAAGTTTAAGTTATGTGTATCTTCCAATATTATTTCTGTGAAATAAAAGGGGAAGTTCTAAACATAAGTAAAATGTCTATGTAACTATATCATCAACATCTTCTCTAACATATAAATTTATTTTTCCACCAGATACCTACATAACAGGAATATTTCTTATCTCATTAGTGTTTTTTTATTTTAAAATATATTTACATTTGTATTATGCAATATATTTAATTACATTACACATACATATACATTAATTTTAATATACATTTTGAGCATAATTGTTTTAAGTGCTATGATATTGTCATCTCTTCTCAACATGACTGATTTAAATCTGACTTAATGGATGATTTCAAAGTTTTAATAGCAATTCCTTTTTCTTGAACTAGGTACTACAAAATACACTTAGAAATTCATGTTGAAGTTAATTTATTTTCCATTTAATTTACAACTGCATAAGTAATAAATTATGTACCACTGAGACTTAATTTATTGTAATGCTCACAACACAGGAGTCCAATTACAAATAGAGAGTTAAAGTTATAAGTATCTTAAATTATTAAGGGATTGCCACTGTTAGAAATCTGGAATTGGAAATTTTATTATTTGTTTTATTGTTATTTTATCTGTTATTTCTAACCTGTGGTTATTTTTTATTTGGCTTTCATATCCAGGATTGCATATTTTTAAAAATTATACAAGTTTTGGGGTAGTTGACAATATGAATAAATAATATATTTACATATGTATATATATTTTTTAAAGGTCAAGAAAATAAACTATTCTTGGTTTGAATAAAATATGAGAGACACTTAAGGTTGTTTCTACAACTTGGCTGTTGCGAATAATGCTGCAATGACTACAGTCAATAATTCTGTATTATATACTGAAAACTTTGAGAGTAGATTTCAGTGCTCTAACCACACATACACACACAAAACCTGGCAACTATATAAGGTTATGAATATGTTAATTAGCTTGAGAGTGCTGTACACCTTAAATACATACGATTTTTATTTAAAAATTAATAAAAAATAAAGGAGCTTGGCCTTATGCAATTAAAAACAATAACAATGACAATAATACCATAACAACAACAGTTTTGTGAGAAACTGCAAGAGCAATTTGAATTCTGTTTTTATCACTCTAATGTGTATACTTAACCTGGAGTTGGGGAAGTAGGTTTGAGCTTTCAGCAGATGCCTTCTGCAGGCGGCAATGAGAGTTTTTGGTTTACAATATTTAATATCTTTCCTTCTCAGCTGCGTTCTTTCATTATCAAAAGGATTGGCATTCCATATGTCAAAGTGCATAGGTAATATTACAGTCACAGAAGTCCCTGCTAGTATTGAGAACTGATGAAAATATGTGACACTCAGTGAGTTTGCCTTTAGATTTTATTTCTTCAATATTTAATCCTCAAAATATCCAGGGCAGATGGACGACTATGAGAGTGAATGTATTTTTCAAATGTGGTTTCTTCCAAGAAAAATTTAACTATCAGATAATTATCTTTGATGTAGTAGTAAGCGAGACAGTATTCAGTAGCACCTTCACGTTCTGCTCAGTGGCTCATCTCTTTCCTCTTGAAAAATCACTTTAAGTGAAACAGAATAGGTCCTGCCCTTCTGTGCTTCTCCATTAGCCTCTCCCTGAAGGAAGAGCTAATGTCTCCACTAAAATAGGCACCAAGACCAAAGTAATAAAATGCCTTCATATAATAACATACAAATTGTCGATAGTAAATGCTATCTAAAGTGAAATTGTAAAAGCAGATATACTAAAAATAAAGATGTTAGCTATATTTAAGAAAATTAACTTAATAATGTTATCCAAGAATCTAAAGTCATTAAAAATACAAAGTAGATACTAATTGTGAAAAATACTACATAAAACTAAGAAATAATTAGATGTAATAATAACACCATGAATAATAATGTTGAGTAAGGCAGAATAAAGTTGAGTCAGGCAGAATAAGAAAATATATATATATATATATTCTGTGAATAAATTATTAAATTAAATTATTAAGGGATTCACAGAAAATATATTTTTATAAGTATTAAGTAAAGAGCGAGAAAAAGGAAAGATTCTAATATCAGGATATTGAAAGTCTCAAGCAGTTATTAATAGTTTTTCAATGGCAGAACAAATAATTTAAAATTAAATGAAGAGTCAAAATAGAGGAATGTCCTTATTTATGTATGAAGTTACAAATGAGAGATAAAGAAAACCATGTCCTGAACATGTTATAAAGTTAAGACCTCAATTTTAATAAAAATATTTTAAATTATTTCAGGGAGAAATAAATGATCATATAAAAAAGTTGTCTGAGTAGATTCAGAAAGAGTGGTAAAGAAAAAATGGTGAAATAAATTTAGCCTTAAAAGAAAATGATTTGCAATTAGAATTCTATATTTTACCATCTTTGATTTCTGTATTTTAAGTATTTTCAGACGTGCAATAATTTATGTACTATGAAAAGCTCTACATTGAAACATTTTCAGTAAGTTCTAAAATAGGAAGAGAAATAATACAGGAAGAGTCCATGAGAGATGTGGGAAATTACAGAAAATTCAGATTTTAACTTTAAAAAACGAAATTATACAAAAAAGGTAATCCACAGGCCAAAAGAAAATGTGGTATTACAGATACAGAACAAAATTAATATATTTCAAGTAGAGATCCATATTTTATGAGGTCTGAAGCATATGTAACTTTTATATCTCCTTTTAAGGAAAAAAAATTTAAATACAAATTATAAAAGCACTTATTTTAAGAAAAGAGAAATTAAAACAAATCACAAATTTTGAAAAAGCTGAAAAATACCACAATTCAGTTTGCATTTTGACTTCCCCTGAGACATTACCAACATGTTTGAATTTTGGTATTACCAGTAATTTATTTAAAATTATAAATATTCTAAAATGTTTATATACATACATATTTATATGCATATCTGTGTATGTGTGTGTGTGTGTGTGTGTGTGTGTGTGTAGGCAAATGCATTTTAAGATTTCCTTATACTATATCTGCCTATATATTCGTGTCACCAAATTATCCCCACATTATATGCATTTGCTTATTAATGGATATGTGTAAGAATTTTTATCACTGAATATTTTTATCTTTAGGCAGTTTTTTGTTTCAGCAGTGACTTATATGGCACTTAATTTGTAATTGGAAGTCCTCCTTAAAACAAGTTGTGTCAGATACGGTAAGTTGTGATATGATACGTTGAGATGCATAAACATGAGATTTCACACACAGACATACTACTGTGCATAGCACCTGCACTCTCCAAAAAATGAAGCATCCTACTTTCCTTGATTTTTGTCGTAAGGTATAAATAGGTGTATTTAGATTGTTTACACTGCATTATCAAGTGTATTTCTGACAAAGGGAACTTCAATTTTGAAAAGATATAAAAGAGAACCATGTTTTTCAAGCAATTTTATACATCCAATGATAAAGGAAAAATTCCATCCCGTGTTTTCTTGCTCTGTGCATTTCAGATTATTCAGAGCTGGATGACATAGGTCACAGTAATCACAATACATCCCACTCATGCCTATCATGATGCCAAATGAGAATGCACAGTGGGAAGACAGTACCATAAGAGGATGACCAGCAATAACTGAATGATACTTACATATAATTGTGGTCAACATAAATCTTTCTATTAAACTCAAACTAAATATAATAGCCACAAAATTGGGTAATCATCAATGGAAAATACATATATGGATATATACCATGAGGTATGCTATATTAGCAGCAATGGACAAGATGAAAATACAAACGCATTACACATAAATACAATATATATTTTAAAAGAGCACATATTAACAAAAGTGTAGCTGTTAACACATTACAGTAATTATCCATGTGAGAAAAAAAATGGACATGGAAAAAGCAAGTTAAAATGAGTTGATATAAAAATAAACTAGAAAAGGATAGTGACAAAAAGATCAGTGACAAGGAGCCTAAATTTTTTTTTAATCACATTTAAGAACTGAAAAAGTAAATGTCCATTAAAAAATAAATCCATATATAAGCAGCTAAAGATTCTCTCACAATATAAAAACTGATGTCAGTATTCCCTTTTTCCTTTCTTTTAGGATTACATAAAAGATTTTTCAGCTTCTGCTTTCAAATATTATTATTATATCTTGAACATATTGATCCAAACCTGTAAAAATCCAATAATTAATAATTCAAATTGATTTCAAATTATCCTCAGTAGTTTATCATGCATCCATCAGCATTTAAGAAAATCTTTTCCTCCAACAGAAAAATTTTTCCTTGAATTTAATTGATATTTTTGTGGTAATAAAGAGTAGTATTTAGTACATTACATGGAATGTATTTTAAAAAGAAACTATAAAATGTTATTTTGTAGTTTTTGCTTCCTAAAGATTTTCAGCAAATGAATGGTCTACTGTAATAATATTTTATAGCTGCCTTTTTGTGAGTGTAAGTTTTATACTAATTTTGAAAATAAGAATAAAATGTCATATCTGATAGTTTTGAATTCTGATTTGATATAATTTATGTACTAAGCAGACATGAATGTTTTGAAATGTAATCTGCAATATATAGGCAACATTTATGTGACATTTTGATCTGAGGTATCCTTTTTAATTAATTTTCTCTTGATTTTAATATTTTTAAAAATTAGAAAAATGTGTGAAATGTAGATCAAAGTATTTTCACCCACACTTTGTTAAGCACATTAAAAATTTTACTGTAAGTAGATAGAGTGAAACTAATCTACAATTTATAGTCTAAATGACAGATTTGTACATAAATTTGTCATAACTTAGAGTTGAAAAATTTCAAAATATTATTTGAGTGTCTTATATAATTTTACCAAATTTTTAAAAAAGCTTCTGAGGGCTGTAGCTAAATTATGCCCAACACCCATTAAGCATGTACACAAATATATCTCATCATATCAAATTTGAAAGTGCAAGTATACATTCATATCAGTTTAAGCAACAAATTTGGGATGTTTCTTTACACCTCTTTATATATTCCACAAAATCAATCTACACCTGAAAAATAATAAGTTCCATTTGTGCATTTTAACAAGAATTTTCATTGTAAAATGCATGTATGCTAAAACTCAATATGACTTTTTGGAATTACTGGCCAAATATCAAAAGTCACTTAAAATATTATTATAAGTTACATTAAATAAATTAGAATTGTTACATATAAGGAATATCTCTTTACTATCTGTTTTAGTGAAGGTTCTTCAGAGAGACAGACCCAGTAGGATGTGTAGGGAAACATGAAACAAATTCATTAGGGCAATTGGTTCACTTGATTATGGTTGCTGAGAAGTTTCATGATAGGCCATCTGCAAATTGGAAAACCAGTAACTTAGTCCAAGTCCAAATGCCTGAGAGTCTGGAGGGCCCATAGTGTGGGTCCCAAAGTCCAAAAGCTGGAGAACCTGGAGTTGTAACATCCATGGGCAGCAGAAAAAGAGTGTTTGAGCTCCAGAAGAGTGAGCAAATTCACCCTTCAGCAGAAGAGGGACAGGCTCAGTGCCTATTGAAGCATTGAGAATAAATCATGCTTTCTCAGCTGATTTGACACCCCCAAAGCAATCATAATAAATCTACCTGGATACTCATGTGTATCTCCTTAAATAGTACCTAATCTCCAAATGAAGACAATAACAAGGTCACAGTTTCACCTAGCATAATACAACTACCCTATGTACACTGGAAACACACTAATCTCTTTCTCAGAAGAGGAGGTAAGGTCCTTGAGTGATGTTTACTCCTCTCCTGATAGTTGGTAGCTTAAATACCATGAGGAAAAATTAACAATAAAAATGGCCCCTGACTTGTCATGGTTCAAGTTATAATTTTTTTAAAACTTAGGTAGTGAGAAAGTGGTATGCATCCAGTAGAAACCGTACCTTGAATTTTGCATGTTGATCTTTTCCCAGGCTATCAGTGTGGTACATACTCTCTCAGAATGCTGGGTAGCTGCTGTGAATCACAGCTCCCAGTCAGCCATGTTACCATGAGAGTAAACAACTGATACTCTACAGTGTATTATAAATGCATTTTGACTTAACGGTATTTTCAGCTTACCATGGGTTTATCAGAACATAACTGCCTTGTAAGTTGAGTATCCATACTTAAATAGTGATATAAACCCAATATATCTGAAAATATCAGTACAAGACAAAAGAGGGGAAAAGATATTTGCTTAATATATGCATATATTTACATAAATGCACTTGTGACAGAATAGGAAAGAATAGACGGTACTCAAAGCCTTCTTTTCTGTAACTGGTCACATTATCTTACCTGGTATTTAAAACTACATACATTCTTTTACTTCCCACTCTATACTCTTGGATGGCATTAATCGTCACCTCAACTAATCATGGTTCTTTACTAGGTAGAGAAACTGAAAACTTCATTCCTCAGCACGAGCAATTTGTAGTCCTGGCTGGATGAGGATGTTATAATTTCCCACTGATCTTAATTACAGGTCATGGTAACATTAAGAGACACCCTAAGGGATCTCTTGTATTCCTTACAAGAAAGATATAATCTTTCTTGCCTTCATTATGAAGTAGCAATCCAAGATTCACTTGATATTCTAGATCAATCACTCCAGCAAACACCATTACTTCCCCCTTATCCTGCTGACTCAGAGGCATGTGAAGCCACAAGTGGCCAGGTGGCAGTCACAGCCTGGAGTTCAATAGAATCATTGTTGTGTCTCCTAGTGCAAGCACTTCTCCCTGTGGCACAAAGACCTCTAGGCCAGCTCAGAGCATGAAGTTGTAGGAAAAGGAAGCTAACATTTTGCTAGGAGGTCACTAGGGATAACGGTGAATTGTATCACTCTCATTTCCAACCCTTGATTCCTGGAACATTAAATTATGGCAATGAAAAAAAAACTGTACTATATATTGAATGCTGTCTCAGAGCATCTATAGCATTCTTGTGAATCTTGCAGCAGCCTGCAAAGCTTTGTCACCTATCTGACACTGTAACTGAGCCTACCAAAGGCCATTCCCAATTTCTATCAAGCCAACTGCTTCAGGATGGTAGGATAACCTGGTAAGACCAGTGAATTTCATGAGCATGAGCCCATTGCTGACTTCTTT
The DNA here is from genome assembly GCF_000001405.40 of Homo sapiens. NCBI lineage: Eukaryota > Metazoa > Chordata > Mammalia > Primates > Hominidae > Homo > Homo sapiens. The sequence continues at coordinate 69,244,000 of NC_000013.11, forward strand.
GGCTGTGAAGTAAGTTTCTTGATCAGAAACAGTGTCCTGTGGGATACCGTGATGGTGGATAAGTCATCCTGTAAGTCTATGGATGGTAGTTTTGGCAGAAGCATTGTGTGCAAGGAAAGCAAATCCATGTCCAGAGTAAATGTCTATCCCAGTAAGAACAAAACCTTATCCATTCCACAATAGAGATATTCAATGTTATCAACCTGCCACCAGGTAGCTAGCTGATTACCCCCAGTGAATGGTGATATATCAAGGGCTTAATGTTGATTTCTACAGCTGGCAGATTGGGCACTCAGTGGTGACCATAGCCAAGTCAGTCTTGTAAGTGAAAATTCATGTGGCTGAACCCTTGAATAACCCCATCCCTGCCAACCATGTCCACTTTTTTTGTGAGCTCATTGGGTGGTAGTGATGGCTTGAAAAGAGGCTGATTGGTATTTACAGAATAAGTCATTATGCTTACTTGATTGTTAAAGTCCTCCTCTACTGAGATCATTTTTTTGGTGAACATTCACATGGGACACAAATATTTTTATGTCTTTACCCACTGAGGGAAATCTATCCACATGCTCTTCCCTCAATATTTTTCTCATCAATTTTCCAATCATGTTATTTCCAAATCCCTCACCATCCATCCAAACCACAGCCCATAAATTGGTATATAATTGAATGCCTGGTTATTTCTTATTCCAAGCAAAGTGACATCCAGGTGCACTGGATGCAGTGCCAGCCACTGAGAAGATTCTTCTTCACCAATGTCTTTCAAGGATGTCCCAGAAAATGGTTGTAGTGCCACTGTTGTTCTGTTCACTTTCAGGTGGTGCCTGCATATTGTGCAGCACAAGTGTAAACTAGCCCTGAGTCTTCTATTCCTCTCTCCATTGATCATAGGTTATTACTTGAGAGGTTATAGGTATAGGCTGCGAGAGAGAAGGCAATATAGCAGGAAGAGGAATCATGGCATTTGGCCCACTTCTTCAAGTAACTTACTTCAGGACATGCTCACATATATGGTGCTTCTATTTGCTGATGGAGTGCTGCTGTGTATGTCAATTTATGGCTTGGTAGCTCAGATAATTATAGTTGGTGCCAGTCCACAACAGGCAGCTCAGGTGTCATGGTAACGTGGTGCCCCATGGTCAAGTGTTTGGTTTCTACTAAGGCCCGATAGCAGGCCAAGAACTGTTTCTCAAGAGGAGAGTAGTTATTTGCAGATAGTGTCAGGGCCTTGATCCCAAAACCTAAAGGACTGTGCTGTGATTCACCTACAGGGGCCTCCCAAAGATTCCAACAACATCCTTCTCAGCCATTGAAACTTCAAGTACATTTGGAGCTGTTATCTCATATGGCCCAAGTGGCAGAGCAGCTTGCTCAGCAGCCTGGGCCTGTTGGAGAGCCTTCCACTACATTGGACCCCACCTAAAATTAGCAGCTTTTTGGGTCACTTGGTAAATGGGTCAAAGTCATACACCCAAATGAGGAATATGTTGCTTCCAAAATCCAAGTAGGCCCACTAGGCATTGTGCTTCTTTCTTGGTCGTAGGAGGGTCTAGATGTGACAATTCATCCTTTACCTTGGAAGAGTTATCTCAATACGTCTTACACCAGTGGACCCCTAGAAATTTCACTGAGGTAGAAGGACTCTGAATTTTAGAAGAATTATTTTCTATCCTCTGACACATAAATGTCTTAACAATAAGTCCTGAGCCATTTCTAATTATCACTCACTAAGTATAGTCAGCATAATGTCATCAATGTAAGAGACCAATGTGAAATGTTGTGGAAAGGAATAGTGATCAATACCTACATGAACTAACTTATAACACAGTGCTGGAGAGTTGATATGCCCCTGAGGTAGAATAGTGAAGGTGTATTGCTGGCCTTTCTAGCTGGAAGCAAACTGCTTCTGGTGGGCCTTATTGGCAGGTGTGGAGAAAAAGGCATTTGCCGATTAATAGCTGTGTACCAGGTACCAGGAGATGTGTTTATTTTCTCAAGCAATGAAACCACACCTGATACAACATTTATGACTGGAGTTGCCCCTGGTTAAAGTTACAATAACTCACTGTCATTCTCCAGTATCCATCTATTTTCTGTTCAGGCCAAATAGGAGAACTAAATAGGTATATGGTGGGAATCACCACCTTGCATCTTTCACATCTATGATGGTGGCATTCGTTTCTGAAATTCCTCCCAAAATATGGTATTGTTTTTAATTTACCAATTTATTATTGTCCTAGGGAGAGAAAACTCTACTTGCTTCCATTTGACATTTTCCACCATAAAGGACCTCACTCCACAGGTTAGGGAAACCACGTGATGATTATGCCAGTAGCTAAGTATGTCTATTTCAATTATGGATCTGGAACTGAGATAATAATCACAGAATGGGTTTGAGGACCCACTGCACCCACTGTAAGTTGGACTTGAGTTAAAACTTTATTGATCACCTGACCTCCATCAGCCCCCTACTCTGACTGTAGGGCCACAGTGATGTTTTAAGTCTCCTGGAATCATTGTCAACTTAAAGCCACTGTCCAGTATTCTCTAAAGGCAGACTTAATCTTCCCCAGTGCACAGGTCTCTGGTAAAAGGCCAGAGTCCCTTTGGGGAAAGGTAAACATTGTAAATTTTCAGCAGGATACTAGTGTCTTAAGATACTACTCTTGTTTTAAATCTGTAAGTCTTAAAAATAAAATCTGTTAGTCATTTGTATTCAGTAATGCTTGGATTTTATCCTATAGATAAACTCACAGTATGTGAGTCTGTGTGTGTTTGTGTGTGTATGTCTGTGTTCAGTTAAGTGTGTTAGCAGCAAATATCTAGAAACAAACTATTAGTACAAGAATAAATATATCTTAGAAAATTTATTCAATAAAGTACTACTCAGCCATTAAACATTAAACACAATGGCTATATAAGTACTGACATGAAAATAAATTTATGGTATATCATTAGGTATAAAGACCAATTCTTTGGCTTGCATTACCTACTCTTTTTTGAAGTAAAAAACATTTGTTGGTAATTCTGTTATCATAAGAATGGTTGATACACTGAGAGGATAAACATCGTATAATGAGTGGTAAAATATTCCAAAGGAAACAAAGGAACTGATGAAGTAGCAGTCTGTAATAAACATGCATCATACATATACACACATACATATATGTATACATATATACATACACATACATATATGTATACATACATATACATACACATACATATATGTATACATACATATACATACACATACATATATGTATACATACATATACATACACATGCATATATGTATACATACATATACATACACATGCATATATGTATACATACATATACATACACATACATATATGTATACATGCATATACATACACATACGTATACATACATATACATATATGTATACATATACATATACATATATGTATACATATACATGTACATATATATATCTTGATCTTTGGAATATATATATATATAGTCTAGTTTGGAGGATAATGCACCTCCATTCTCCACCTACTAGAAGTGCAATTTACAAGAGTCTCCATCGGCAGCTCTCTGAAATCTATTACACTGTTTGCACCCATGCCTCCCCCACACTGCTACCAGCTAATTACAAAATGTGGAGGGAGTGTACTAAGGCAAGTCAACTCCTGGGACACACCAAACTCCTCTGGTCACTTTCAAAAAAGAGCAGTGACACCCAAACCAATCATTTATTAGACAACCTGGCAATCTAGGATGTGTCCATCCAATTTTATGTTCTTTCTTTTATTTATGGGTATACTTGCATTGAAGTCTGACTGTTCTTTCATCATTCCAGAACCCCTTTCCATTTTTTGTCTTATGGTAGCATGCCTCCTCATAAAATCTTTGCACTGCTGTATGAGTCAGGGTTTTCCAGAGACACAGGACCAATAGGATAGATAGATATAGATACATGAAAGGGGATTTATTAAAATAATTGGCTTACATGATTATGGAGGATGAGAAATCCCATGACTCTCTGCATTCAAGACCTGGGGATGCTTATAGTGTGGATCAGTCCAAGTACAAAGGCCTCAGGACCAGGAAAGCTGATGGTGTAAGTTTCATTCCAAGGCCAGGTATCTGAAAACTCAAGGGGACACTGATGTAAGTCATGGAGTTCTAAGGCCAGGCAGCCTGAAGTTCTAATGTCTATACACATGTAGTACATGTCAGAGGAGGACAATATCATAGCTCTGGGAGAGAGATAGAGAGAAAATTTTGTTTTCTCCTCTTTTGTTCTATCTGGACCCTCAGCCAATTGCATGGTGACTACCCACATTGAAACTTGGTCTTCCCCACTCACTTGATTTTCCCCTCTGACTCTTGTGCTAGTCTCCTCTAGAAATACCCTCACAGGCAAACCCAGAAATAATGCTTTACCAGTTCTCTAGATATTCCATTATCCAGTTTAGTTGACACCTAAAGTTAACTATCAACAACTGTTAATTATTTCTTGATGCTTCTCAGAGGCCCTAAAAAAACACATACAAAAGGCATGTCATGGAGGTATAAAGAAAAACTTTTAATTAATTTTGATTACAAAACTCGAATAAGAGAAAACTAATAATGTTTCACATTTTAATGAATACATTTTACTTACATGAGGTAAAAATATTTATAATAGACAAATAGACATATACGACATAATAATACATAAATAAGAAGATATAAATAATACAAAATCTTTTATTTATTTTAAGGAAGAGATATATATTATATAATCAAAACCAGAGAATAGCACATATAAAAAATGTTTTTGAAAAAGTAAAATCTTGCTATGTTAACTATATGTCAAGGTGGTCTTTTAAAGTAGTTTTCTTTTCAATAATTTGGACATATTATCAGGAAAAATTTAAAAATAGTATTAAAACAAAATTACTGAATTAGATTCCTATCTATAAAACATGACAGTCGATGGAATGAAGAAAGAAATAGAAATGAAGTTACCAGATATAATTATTCAATCTTTGCTATTTTTATTTCTTAATGAGTTTAAAGAAGAAAAGAAAACTGTCATGGAATGAGAAAAGTTTAAAGATTTGTTTAATATTTGTTTTATGAGAGGTATTTGGGACTTAAAAATTCCACTAATGCTTAACGTAGTAAGAAGAAACATTAATGGGCTGAGAACATTGTGTTTTAACTGCACATTTAATTTCACACACAAAAAAATCTAATTCTTGCTATGAAACATGGGTAAATTTGTATATCAATTTTTTTCCCAATTCTACATCCATCGTTACAACCTATCTTTGTCTAACATTACAATTTTATTTCATTAATGAAATACATGCATATATAAATATACAGTATATATAAAAATACATACTATATATAAATGTATATAGTATATATATATACTATATAAATATATACTATACATAAATATATATACTACAAATATAAATATATATGTTATTTACATTCCTCTCTGTAATCTCCTTTACTCTTTTATTAAACAGTCGCCCCATATTCATTTGTTTCTTTCTGCTCTTAGAAGGGTGCTGTATCATATTAATGGCTAGGGATTTGGACAACAGAAACAGATAGCTTTAGATTTGAATCCTGTCTCTATAACCTTGGACAGGTTACTTAAATTTCTTGAATTTCACTTTCTTGATTTGTAAAGTGGGAACAATAATATACAGCTTTGTGAGTTTATGTGAAAATTATGTGTACAAATCTTAGAATAGCTCCTGGCACATGAGAACTCAAGTGTTAGCCATTCCTCCCATCTCCAAACCTAGAATACTCCATTCTCTACTACACTGCAAGCAATATGAGAACAGAAATTTTTGTATTCAAGTACTGGGAACAATGACTGACACATAATAGTTGTCCAATAAATGCACAGTGAATAGAAGATTGAATAAGTTTTGTGCATGTAGTTACCCTCTTTTAGACTTATTTCATATTTATATTTGATAATTTATTTTACTTTCATTTACCTTTGTATTTCCTTCAAGATTGACTTCAATTTTCCTAGCAAGGCTTCAGTTGTATTTTTCTTTCTTGTGGAGGCTTCATAATGGCTGTAAGTTAATAAAATTGCATTTATATGTTTGTTTCCTAGATTCTCTTTGCTTGGTAGCTCTACTTTCATCTTTTTTTAATAAAACCATCTTGCCATTAGTTTCTTTGAGAATCTATAGAATTATTTCTTGACAATTTTCCGTTTCTTGGGATAGTTTTCTGATATCCCTAAATATTCTTTTCTCATGCCACCTTATTCCTTTAAAGTACCTTTACATCACATAGCATAGAATAGCATAAAAAAAGTTTATGAAGATTACTTTCAAGTTATTACTTCCTTTGAGAACAGATAGCTATTTGCTGATGGCATGCTGAGAATAAATGGAGGTGATATACTGAGCTCAAGCAGCTAAATTCCTCTTATAAAATCAGTCATTTTCTCTTTCTGGAAGCATATATCCTCTCTGTTTTTGCAGATCAAGGTAGCTAATAATAAATTCCCATGTATTCAAGCCTTTTTGGAACTTGATCTTGTCATTCCTGCTTTTCTTCTGTTCTTTTCCACTTCTTATTTACAAGAGACTTCTCAGGCAGGAGGCTGCTTTTGTTGTTGTTGCTGTTGTTCTTTTTCTCCCTTTCCTTTAAAATAATTGAGAACAGTTTACAAAAACAAAATGCGTAATTCCTAATTGTACATCTTAGTGAATATTATACAGTATATGTCTACACCTGGGTAACAACCACCCAGATTGAAACAGAGTATTTTGTTTAACCTAGGGATTTTGTTATACCCTTGCCATTCAATTCTCCCACCTGCCTTCATAATCATTCCTCTAAATTCTGTTAAGATAGATTAATATTGCTTATTTTAGAACTTCTTATAAATATAATCACATAATATAAACATTAATTTCCTTGTGGGCAGTTTATTTGGCTCAAGTTATCTTCATTAACTTAAATTTATGCAGTTGTATGTATCACTTTAATTTTTGTTTAATATTGAATGAATTTGAATGAAGATACAATTTGTTTATCTGTTCTCCTGATGATGAACATTTTGACTGTTTCCAATTTGGGATTATTATAAAAGAAATGTCTATAAATAATCTGGAACATCCAGAAAATATAGATATGTATTTTTTGGTGTAAATATATTCTCATTTCTTGTGTATATTCACCTGTGGGGGGAAGTGCTCGGTTACAGTAGGTATGTGCCCAAATTAATTAGAAACTGCTAAAAAAAATACTGTATTATTTGCAGCTAACATTCCACTTATTTAGTTGGTTTCATTATTCTTTTAATTCTAGTCATTCTAATGGGCTATAGTGGTAATTCAATATGGCTTAAATGTATATTTCAGTAATACTGTTAACTAATGATTTTTTTTTTTTGGAGAAATGCTTATTGAAGGCTTTTATCCATTATTTAAACTGGATTATATAAAATTTTATTATCAATTTGTAGAAGTTCCTAAAATATTCTAAGTATAAGCATTTGCCTGGTAAATATATTGCATCTGTTTTCTTCCAGTCTTTGATTAGCCTTTTAGTTTGCTTAATGACACCTTTCATAAATAGTAGTTTTTAAAAATAATTTATAAGTCTAATCTTCCTATTATGGTTTTGAAACCTGACCAAGAAATCTCCCACACCTGGGTTACAAATATATTCTTCTTTACTATACTCTAGAAGCTTTACAGATTTAAGCTTCATAATTAGATTGATGAATATTCAAATTAAATTTTGTACATGGTATGAGGTAGGGAACAAGGTTAACTTTTAGCCATACAGCTATTGTGTTGATCCATCATCATTTATTAACAAGATTTTCCTGTCCCATTAAATATCATTGATATCATTGTCAAATATGGAGTATCATATATGTATGTGTGTGTGTGTGTATATATATATATATATATATATATTTTTTTTTTTTTTTTTTTTTTTTTTTGAGACAAAGTCTCACTCTGTTTACCAGGCTGGAGTGCAGTGGCTCAATCATGGCTTGCTGCAGCCTCAATCAGCTAGGCTCAAGTGATCCTCCTACTTCTCAGCCTCCTGAGTGGCTAAGACTACAGACATGTGTCATCATGCCTGGCTAATTTTTGTATGTTTTGTAGAGACAGAAATTAACTAGTGAAACTGGCCTGCTAAAACATGGCCAGCTCAGTAAAATTCTAGAAGTAGTATTTCACCATGTTGTGCCAGCTGGTCTTTGAACTCCTTGGCTCAAGCGATCTGCCCACCTTGGCCTCTCAAAGTGCTGGGATTATAGGCATGAGCCACTGTGCTTGGCCAGGTCTATTTTTAAAATAGTATATTTCTATTTTATTTATCTTTTTGACTATCCACATTTGAATACCATAATCTCTAAATTACAGTATTCTTAATAGTCTTGGAATCTATTAATTGTATTTCCTCTAACATTGTTTTTCTTCTTCATTTTCAATAAGGTCTTAGCCTCTTATGCCCTTTGCATGCCAAATGAGTAATAGAGTCAGCTTGCCAAATTCTATAAAATGACCTGATTTTTACATCAGTTCAAATCTCCATTTGAGACTTAATTGACGTTATAGATTATTTTCAGGGAAATTTACATCTTAACAATATTAAGTACTCCAAATTATAATTATATTATTTCTTCAAATTACTAAACTTTTTTCATTTCTGTGCAGTATTTTTTATTCGTTTGAAGTAAACAAGTTTTGCATCAATTTTATTCAAATTATTTTTAGGTATCTGTTTTTAATGTGTGTGTGTGTTTTCCCAATATTTGTTGCTATATATAAATCAAAGTGAACATTTTGTGATAACTTTGTATGCACAAGTCTCACTAAATTTATTTCTTAATTGTACTAGTTGTTTCTCAATTATTAAAGATTTACTGCATGCGCAATTGTATCATCTATGAATAAATGCTATTTTGTTAGCACAATATTTTCAATAATAAAAATAGATATATAATTGTGACTCTGACACAATACCTGATTTTATTAAATATTTAAAATGTACAAAAAAATGGAAATAGAAATTCTTTGTGGAGAAGCTATATCAGTCATAAGTTTCAAATTGTCCCTTTTCTCCCACAACAGTCTATCTTTGCCTTCAGATGAACAAAACATGGGTTCTGAACAATGTGTGCAGAAACATCTTTCTCAAAATATATTGTTTTACTTAAAAAAATCATTTTATATTTTACCAACTTACTTATATTTAACATGCCAGTGTCCCTTTTTATTTTTCAGCCTGCTATGCCAGATAAATCTGTAAGTTTGCACTTAATTATCAATAGGTCAGGTAGAAACCCAGTTATAAGATTTAAAATCTTATAAGTAAATGTTTAAAAATAAGATTAAACAATATAAACTTCTTATAGTTTCTTTCTGCCTGCAGATACTCTTCACATGTGTGTAGAAAGTTTTTTTATAGTCATTAGCATGCTTATTAGAAGGTCAGGCTGAGGTGCAATTTTATTATCTTTTAAAATCTATTGTTTCTAATTTAAAACCTGCCATTTTTCTTATGGATTTCTTCCAAACATAATGTTTATTTTTTATGTTGCTTTTAAGTATTTTTATGTATTTGTTAATTATGTGGTTAAAATCTGTTTCATTCAATAGACTGAACTTTGTGAGTACAACAGTAATATTTACATTTATGTAAAAATCTCCAGAACTTAGAACAATAATTAATACATAATGTTTCTTTACAGGCATTCATTGGGTTAATTAATGCCTTAATATTAATTTGGATAATTAATTGAAGAGCCCAGTAATATAACAGAGAACACTTGATAGTGCTCATGGTCTTCACTTAAAAAAATCAAAATCTTTATTTGGTTATAGTTTTTTTTTTTTTAATCTTATGATTCTCTGAATTAAGACAATTTTAAAAAATAAGCACTTCATAGGAAGGGATGGGAGATTATAAAGAATAAAGATGTTTGCTAAATTTTTCAAATAGGAAAACGATGCTTTGGTGATTGATGTTTAGCTTTCATTGTCAATCATTTAAATTTACAGAATCATTTTTATTACAGAAATTTTTCTTGGCAGAATTTTTCTAGTTTTAGACAGTGGTACATATATTTATAAAGAACTGAATAACAATTTCATAAAAGCATGGTCTATTTGTAAGAAATTGTAGTGAAGGGGTAACCTTAACATTATTTGTATCATGATCCAAATTAACTAGTGACAAATAAAACTCAAAATCTGCTGAAATATAGTCAGTTTAGTATAATTTCTACAAGTAGTTTCCTTGTGTTCATCACCAGATGTGTAATAACCATATAACAATTAAAATGAACTTCTGATACATGCTACAATTTAGATGGATATCAAGATAATTATGCTGAGTAAAAGAAAAAAGCCTCAAAAGCATATATAGTATGATTCCATTTATATAATAGTTTGACATAACAAAATTATAGAGATGAAGAACAGAGTCATGATTTTCAGTGGTTATCAGAGAAAATGATACATTACACTAAAGAAAGTTTATAGTTTTACAATACAATTCTTCAAATAGTTAAGGATACCATTATCTATATAAACTTACTTTCTTAAATTAGTATGATAAAAATGTAACAGTTAAAATATTTACTGATTACGAGCATTGGATTCTAATTGTCTTAACCATGAAAATTTATATATATATATATGTGTATATATATACATATACACACACATATATACATACATATATATACAATAAAACTCAAATGTATCTGGCAGCAGACTTTTTAGTAGAAACCTTACAGCCCAAGAGAAAGGAGCATGACATATTTAAAGAGCTGAAGGGAAAAAAAAAAAACTGTTACCCTAGAATATTATAGTCAGTGAAAATATACTTTGAATATGAAGCAGAAATAAATGCTTTCCCAGAGAAACAAAAACTGTGGGATTTCATCAACATCACAGCTGTCCTACAAGAAATGCAAAATAGAGAACTGCAATCAGAGAAAAAAGGACAATATTCAGCAATAGGAAGTCATGTGAAAGTACAAAACTCACTAGCAATTGTAAGTACACATATAAACACAAAACATTATAACACTGTCATTATGGTGTGTAAACTCTCATCCTAAGTAGAAAGACTAAACAATGTGCCAATCAAAAATAACTACAACAGATTTTCAATACATAGTCAGTACAGTAAGATGTAACTACAAACAAGGAAAAGTTGAAAAGTGGGAGGACAAAGTTAAAATATTGAGTCTTTATAATTTTTCTGTTTACTTTGTTTGTTGTTTATAAAAAAACCGTGCTAATTTGTTATCAGGTTAAAACTTTGGGTTATAAGACACTGTTTGCAAGCCTCATGGTAACCTCAAATTTAAAAAAATACAATGAAGGCACAAAAAATTGAAAGCAAAAAGCTAAATTATATCATGAGAGAAAAATTATCCTCACTAAAAGGAAGACAAGAAAAATGGAATGAAGGAAGAGAAGAACACAAATAACTAGAAAACATATCACAATGTGGCAGGAGTAAATTGTTATATATCATTACATATTACGTATTTATATATTAAATGTAAATGGACTAAACTCTTCAATCAAAAGACATAGAGTGGCTGAATAAATGGAAAAAGCAAGACCCAATGAATTGTTGCCTACTATAAACAAACTTCACCTAGGAAAACTCACATAGACTGAAAATAGAAATATGAATAAAGATATTTGATGCCAGTGGAAACCCAAAAAGAAGAGTAGTAGCTATACTTATATCACACAAAATTGATTTTATATCACACAAAATAGAGACCAAAATTCTGAGAAGAGACAAATGAAGAGAAAAAAGAAGGCAACTATGTAAAGATAAATGGGTCAATTCAGCAAGAAGATATAATGATTGTAAGCATACATGCACCCAACAGTGGAGCATCAGATACATAATGCATAAATTATTAGTGCTAGAGAAAGAAATAGACCCCAATATAATAACAGCTGGAGACTTCAGAAACCCATTGTCAGCATTGGACAGATATTTCAGAAAGAAACTCAACAAAGAAACATCAGACTTATTCTGCTCTATAGACCAAACAAAACTAATATATACAGAACATTTCATCCAATGGCTACAGAATACACATTTTACTTTTCAGCATATCGGTTATTTCCAAGGTTAGATAGACAATATATTAGGTCACAAAACAAATCTTAATTTTTTTTTAAATATGGAATAATATTAAGCATCTTCTTTGGCAACAATGGAATAAAACCAGAAATAAATAACAAAAGGAATTTTGGAAATCATACAAATACATGGAAATTCAACAATATGCTCCTGAATAACTAGGGGGTAATTGGAGAAATTAAGAAAAAAAAATTGAAAAAATTTACTGAAACAAATGATAACAGAAACATAACATTCCAAAATCTGTGGAATACAGCAAAAGCAATGCTAAGAGGAAACTTTATAGTTATAAGTGTCTACTTAAAAAAAGAAAAACTTCAAATAAACAACCTAATGATGCATCTTACAGAAATCGAAAAGTAAGAGCAAACCAAATCCAAAATCAGTGTAAAAAAAGTGATGACAAAAATCAGAGCATAAATAAATAACACTGAAATGAAGAAAATTCAAAAGTTCAAGGAAACAAAAAGTTAGTTTTTGAAAAATTAAAAGTGAGAAACCTTTAGTGAGAATAACTGAGAAAAAGAGAGAGAAGTCTCAAATACAGAAAATTAGGGAATAAAAGGGAGACATTATAGCTGACATCATAGAAATTCAAAGAATCATTAGTGGTTATTATGAGTAACTAAATTCCAATAAATTGCAAAAATCTATAAGAAATCGATAAATTCTTAGACACATACAACCTACCAAGATTGAACGATGAAAAAGTCCAAAACCTAAGCACAATAATAACAAGTAATGAGACAGAAAGTGTAATAAAAAAAAAATCTCTGAACAAAGAAAAGCCTAGGACCTGATGACTTCACTGATGAATTTTACTAAACATTGCAGAAGAACTAATACCAGTGCCACTCTAACTATTCTGAAAAATAAAGAAAGGCAGTTTATTGCCATAGTCATTCCATGAAACCAGCATTACTCTGATACCAAAATCAGAAAAAGACATCAAAAATAGAAATCTACAGCCCAATATCACTGATGACTATTAATGCAAAACTCCTCAATAAAATACTAGAACATGTAATTCAACCACACATTAAAAAATCATTCATCATGACAAGTAGAATTATCCCAGAGATGTAAGGAAGCTTCAACATAAGCAAATTAAATAATGTGAGGCATTATAGTAACAAAATTAAGGAAAAAATATATGATCATTTCAATTGGCACTGAAAATATATTTGATAAAATTCAATATTCCCTGTTAGTTAAAAAACCCTTATAAAACTGAGTATAGTGGAAACATACCTCAACATAATATAAGCAATATATGAAAGACCCACAGCTAGCATCATACTGAATGGGGAAAAACAGAAAATTTTCCCCCTAATATCTGGAATACAACAATGATGTCCACTGTCACCACTGTTATTCAATGTAGTACTGGAAGTTCTACCCAGAGCAATCAGTCCAAAGAAACAAATAAAAGACATATGAATTGAAAACGAAAAATTCCAATTGCCCTCTTTGGAGATGATATATTATATTTTGAAAAAAACTTAAAACTTCACCAAAAAAACTATTAAAACTGATACATTTAGTAACATTTCAGGATACAAAATCAATATACCAAACTTAGTAGCATTTTTATATGCCAATGTCAACCATTCTGAAAAAGAAATTAAAAAGTAATCCTGTTTACAATAGTTACAAATAAAATGAATAGGAATTCACTTATTCAAAGAAGTGAAAGACCTCTACAATAAAAACTATGAACTAATGGTGCAAGATATGGAATAGAATGCAAAGAAATGAAAAGATATTCAATGTTCATGGATTGGAACAACTAATATTGTTAAAATATTCATACTACCCAAATCAATCTACAGATTTAATAAAATCCCCACCAAATACAAATAACATTCTTCACAGAAATAGGAAAAATAATCCTAAAATTCATATGGAACCACAAGAAGACCCAGAATAGCCAAAGCTAATCTAAGCAAAAACAAATGAACAAACAAACAAACAAAAAAACCATAACTGGAGTATCCGCATTACCTGACATTAAGTTATACTACAGAGCTATAGTAACCAAAACAGTAAGGTACTGGACAAAAACAGACACATAGAGCAGTTCAAGAGAATAAATAACCCAGAAACATATCCATACATCTACAGTGACCTTATCTTTTTTTAGAACGTTTCCAAGAACATACGCTGTGGAAATGACCATCTCTTCAATAAATGGTGCTGGGAAAACTGGATATACATTGCAGAAGAATGACACCATAACCTTATCTCTCACCATATACAAAAATCAAATCAAAATGTATTAATTACTTAAATCTAAGTCCTCAAACTATGAAACTACTAAAAGAAAACATTGGAGAAACTCTCCAGGACTTTGATCTTGGCAAACACTTCTTGGGCAAAACCCACAGGCACAGGCAATCAAAGTAAAAATGGAAAGATGAGAGCATATCAAGTTAATAGGCTTCTGCAAAGCAGAAGAAATTTAAGAGAAACCCCAAATACAGGGATAATTTATTTGCAAACTACCCATCTGATAAGGGATTAATGAACAGAATATAAAAGGAGCATAAACAACTCTATATTAAAAAAACTCATAATTCAATCAAAAACTGGGCAAAAGATATGAATAGGCATCTCTCAAAAGAAGACACACGAATAGCAAACAGATATATTAAAAGGTGTTCAACATAATTGATCATCAAAGAAACAAATTAAAACTACAATGAGATATCATCTCACCCCAGTGAAAATGGCTTATATCCAAAATACAGGCAATAACAAATGCGGGTGAGAACACGGAGAAAAGGGGACACTCATATGATGTTGTTGAGAATGTAAATTAGTACAACCACTATGGAGAACAGTTTGGAGTTTCCTTAAAATACTATAAATAGAGCTACCATATAATCCAGGAATCCTGTCAGAGGCGTTTGAACCAGAACTACTCCGTCTTGAATAGAGGTTGAGGAAAATAAGGCTGAGACCTACTGGGCTACATTCCCAAGAGGTTAAGGCAATCTTAGGGTGTTATAGAAGATCAGCACAAAATGCAAGTCACAAAGATCTTGCTGATGAAATAGCATGTGGTAAAGAAGGTGGCCGAATCCCACCAAAACGAAGGTGGTAGTAAAAGAGACCTCTGGTCATCCTCACAGCTCATTATACACTAATTATAATGTATTAGTATACTGAAAGACACTCCCACCAGTGTCGTGACAGTTTACAAATGCCATGGCAATGTCAGGAAGTTACCCTATATGGTACAAAAAGGGAGGAACTCTCGGTTCCAGGAATTGTCCACTTCTTTCCCAGAAAATTCATGAAAAATTCACCCCTTGTTTAGAGTATAATCAAGAAATAACCATAAAATTAGCCAACCTGCAGCCCTTGGGGCTGCTCTGCTTGTGGAGTAGCCATTCTTTATTTCTTCTTTCTTAGTAAACTTGATTTCACTTTACTCTATTGATTTGCCTTGAATTCTTTCACACGTGAGATCCAAGAATCCTCTCTCAAGGTCTGGATCAGGACCCCTTTCTGGTAACAATCCCACTTCTAGGTAAATGCCAAAAGAATGGAAATCAGTATGTTGAAGAGATATCTGAAACCTCATGTTTTTTGCAGCACTATTCACATTAGCCAAGATTTGCAAGCAACTTTTGTCCATTAAGAGATGAATGGATAAAGAAAACATGGTACATATACAGAATGGAGCACTATTCCACCATAGAAAAGAATGAGATCTTGCCATTTGCAATAAAAGGAATGCGACTGGAGGTCATTATGTTAAGTAAAATAAGCCAGGCACAGAAAGACAAATATCACATGTTCTCACTCATCTGTGGGTGCTAAGATTTACAACAATTGAACTCCTGAATATAAAGCGTAGAATGAAGATTTCCGGAAGATGGGAAAAATAGTCAGGAATGAGTGAGGGGTAGACAGGGAAATAGCTAATGGGTACATAAAATAGAGTAAATAAGACCTAGTATTTGCTAGCAAAACTGGATAGCTACAGTGAAAAATAATTTAATTGTACATTAAAAAAATAACTCAGAGTATAACTGAATTGTTTGAAACACAAAGGGTTAATGCTTGAGGTGATGAATATCCTGTTTACCTTGACATGATTAGTTCATGTTGAATGCCTGTATCAACATATATCATGTTACTCATAAATATATATACATGTATACACACACACACCCCCCTAATATGTATCCACAAAAATTTAAAAAAATAAAAGTTTAAAAAATAAATATTAAACACAAATAAAATAAAATTTTGTAAGGTCAGCTGCGTAGTTTGCAAGGATTTTTTTCACTGTCTTTGGGGTTGTTTGTTTATTCTGTTGATAGTTTCTTTTGCTCCATGGAAGCTCTTTAGCTTAATTAGGTCCCACTTGTCAATTTTTTGTTGCTTTTGCAATTGCTTTCGGCATCTTCATCATAAAATATTTTCAAGGGCCTATGTCCAGAATGGTATCTTTTAAGTTTTCCTCAAGGGTTTCTATAGTTTTTGGTTTTACATTTAAGTCTTTAATGAATCTTAAGTTGATTTTTGTATATGGTGTAAAGAAGAGGTCCCAATCCAATCTTCTGCATATGGTTAGCCAATTATCCCTGCACCATTAATAAAATAGAGTCTTTTTTCCATTGATTGTTTTTGTTGAAGTTCAGATAGTTGTATGTGTGCAGCTTTATTTCTGGGCTCTCTATTTTTTTCTATTGGTCTATTTATCTGTTTTTGTACTAATACCATGCTGTTTTGGTTACTGTAGACTTGTAGTATAGTTTGAAGTTGGGCAATGAGATGCCTCCAACTCCAGCTTTATTCTTTTTGCTTATGATTGCTTTGGCTTTGGGGACAGAATTTCATTTCATATGATTTTTAAAACAATTTTTTTCTAATTCTGTAAAGAATACCATTGGTATTTGATAGGAAAGCATTGAATCTATAATTGGCTTTGCACAGTATGGCGATTTTAAGAATATTGATTCTTTCTATCCAGGAACATGGAATATTTTTCCATTTGTTTGTGACATCTCTGATTTTTCTAAGCAGTGATTTGTATTTCTCATTGAAGAGGCTTTTCATCTCCCTGGTTAGCAGTATTATTAGGTATTGTGTGTGTGCGTGTGTGTGTGTGTGTGTGTGTACATAATGGGATTGTGTACTTCATTTGGTATGTAGCTTGGATGTTGTTGCTATATAGAAATGCTACAAATTTGTATGTTGATTATGTATCCTGAATCTTTGCTGAAGTTGTTTATCAGATCTTGGAGCTTATGGTCAGACACTATGGATTTTTCTACACATAAAATCATATATTTTGCAAAGATGGATAGGTTGACTTTCTCCCTTCTTATTTTGATGCCTTTTATTTCTTTCTCTTTCTCAATTGCTCTAACATAGGACTTTCAGTACTATGTTGCGTAGGAGTGATGAAAGTAGGTATCCTTATCTTGTTCTGGTTCTCAAGAGGAATGCTTCCAGCTTTTGACCATTCAGTAAGATGTTGGCTGTGTGTTTGTCATAAATGGTTCTTATTATTTTGAGGTTTGTTTCTTCAATGCCTAGTTTGTTGATGGTTTTTAACATGAAAAATGCTGAATTTTATTGAAAGTCTTTGCATCGATTGAGATGCTCATGTGATTTTTTGTTTTCAGTCTTGTTTTTGTGATGGATCACGTTATTGACTTGTGTATGTTGAACCAACCCTGCATCCCAGGAATAAAGCCTACTTGATGATAGTAGACTAGCTTTTTGATATCCTGCTGGATTATTGTTTGCTAGTATTTTGCTGAGAATTTTTGCATCAATGTTCATAAGGATATTAGCTTGAAGTGTTTTTTGGTTCTTGTTGTTGTTGTCTCTCTGCCAGGTTTTGGCATCAGAATGATGCTGTCCTCATACAATGAGTTAGGGAAGAATCCCTTCAACTCAGATTTTTGGAAGAGTTGCAGTAGGAGTAGTAGCAGTTTTTCATTGAACATTTGGTACATTTCAGATGTGAATATGTATGTTCTTGGGCTTTTTCTGATTGATAGGCTTTTTATTACTGATTCAATTTTGGAACTCATTATTAGTCTGACTAGGGTTTCAGTTTCTTTCTGGTTCCATCTTGGAAGGTTGTACATTTCCAGGAATCTATCCATTACTCGTAAGTTTTTTAGTTTGTGTTCATAGAGCAGTTTGTAATAGTCTCTGAGAGTTTTCTTATATTTCTGTGGGGTTGGTGGTAATGTCTTCTTTGACATTTCTGATTATGTTTATTTGGATCTTCTCTCTTTTTTTCTTTAGTAGTCTAGATAATTTTCTTTCAGTCTTATTTATTTTTTCAGAAAACAAACTTCTGGTTTCTTTGATCTTTTGTATGGTTTTTCATGTTTCAATATCATTCAGTTCACCTCTGATTTTGGATATTTCTTATCTTCTGCTAGCTTTGGGGTTGGTTTGCTCTTGTTTTTCTAGTTCTTCTAGATACAATGTTAGATTGTTAATTTGAGACCTTCCTGACTTTTTGATGTGGGCATGTAGCATTATAAACGTCCCTCTTAACACTGCTTTCATTGTGACCCAGAGTCTTGGCCCTGTGACATCTTCTAGAATCAAAGCCAGTCAACTGAATCCATCTTATACCAAAACCAAACCCCCAAGGGCATCAGAGAAGATAAAAGCAAAATAACTTCATCCAAAGGACAGCAACTTCAAAGATTAAACTAACATTGGCCCAAGCAGAAAAGAAAAAAACAGGCAAGAACCTAGGAAAGTCAAAAAGATAGAGTGTCTTTTTACCTCCAAATGACTGCACTAGTTCTGAGGAAGGGTTCTTACCCAGGCTGAAGGGTGAAATGACAGATGTAGAGTTCAGAATATAGATAGGAACAAAGATAATCAAGGTTTAGGAGAAAGTCAAAACCTAATTCAAGAAATCTAAGGAATACGATAAAATGATACAAAATCTAAAAAACTAAATAGCAATTTTAAGAAAGAACTAAACTTATTTGATAGAGCTGAAATATTTAGTAGAATTTTGTAATACAATTGCAAGTATTAACAGTAAAATAGAACTAATTGAGAAAAGAATTTCACAGCTGGAAGGCTGGTTCTCCAGATGGAATTAGTCAGACAAAAATAAAGAAAAAAGAATGAACAAAACCTCTGAGAAATATGGGATTATGTAAAAAGACTGAATCTGTGACTCACTGGTGTCCCTGAAAAAGAAAGTAAGAAAGCAAACAATTTGGTAAACATATTTGAGGGCATCCTCAGGGAAATTTTCCCCAATTTAACAAATGAAGTCAACATTCTAATTGAAAAAATTCAGAGAACTCCTGCGAGATACTATAGACTGCAACTACCCCCAAGACAAATGCTCATGAGATTCTCCAAGGTCTACCATTACATATGTGTGTGTGTGTGTGTGTGTATATATATATATATATATATATATATATATATATATATATATATATATATATATATGGCAACTAGAGAGAACAAGCAGGTCACCTACAAAGAAAACTCAATAAGGCTAACAGTGGAACTTTCTGCAGAAACCCTACAAGACAAAGAGACTGAGGGCCTATATTTAGCATTCTTAAAAAAAAAAAGAAACTCCAATAAAGAATTTCATATCTGGCCAAACTAAGCTTGAAAAGTGAAAGAGAAATAAGATCATTTTCAGACAAGCAAATGCTAAGGGAATTCATTGTCATCAGACCTGCCTTACAAGAAGTCCTTCAGGGAGTTATAAATATGAAATCAGAAGACTAGTAACAGCCACCACAAAAACACACTTAAATATATAGTCCATTGAGCCAAGGCTTAGCTCAGCACTCCTGTGCTGCATGTTCTTCATGTTCTAACTCTGGGGATTGATAATGGGTTGCCAACTTTGTTCTCTTGCCTTTTGGGTTAGGAACCTGCTGTGTTGAAGGGGCCAAGGTGTTTTGGGTCCACTGGCCTCAATATTCTGATGGAGTGCCAGCCAAAGTGTTTCATCTGGGTGGTGGCAGTGGCATTTTTTCTCACTCACATATTCCAACAGACATGGCAGGGCAGTTAGGTGCACATGCTTTGGCTGGAGAGTGGTGCTGGCGAGAGCCTTTGTTTTAATTTTCACACATTCCATATACTGGTGAAATGTTTTGGTGTTGTCTTTTAGGCTGCAATCCAGTAAGTAGTGCTTAAGAGTGTTAGCTAGCAGATAAGATCTTACTCTGCTGCAGAGCTCTTTTGTGTCTTGGTGCACTTGGCAGTAGTACTCTGTTGTGGGGAGGGAGAGATGATCCCCTCATCTAGCTCACTCCTGGGCCTTGGAGGAGACCCCTCTGATCACTGGCTCTGTGCCCATGTTTCTTTTGTTTGGTGTTCTTGTCCACATGGTTCCCTCAGGCAGGGGCCACTGTTGGCAGGCAGGCAGTATACTTGCCAGGTCAGCTCTACAGAGTGAGGCACACCCTGCTTCTCCAGCAGCCTGAAAACCAGGCATTTTACCTTTCTGTTATTTGAGACTGAGGGCTCCTCCCTACTTGCTACAAGGTAGCAAGTCCCATTTGTCTATAAGTTGTGGGGGTGTGTTGGGCCACCTAATCTGCTGTTTAGGTACCTCCCAGGGGAACATGGGGATTTGCTTTCCTGTAGCGTTAAGACAGAAGAGAGACGAGAGACTGCTGGGCTGGAAATTCTAGTTCAGTATGGGTCATCTGACTACTAGAGGCAGGGGTGAGTGGAGTTACCTGTTCTGCCTTGCTGGTGCTTCCTGAGGCAACAGGAGGCTGCACTCCTTGGCAGAATTTAGGCAGAATTAGGACTACTACTTCTAGCAGGTGTGGCCTGACTGCTACAAAAGGCGGTGGTGGGTGGAGTCACCCACCCTGAGGTCCAGGTGTTTCCCAGAACAAGAGGATCTGTTCACTAGCTGATTTCAGACAGAAGCGTGACCCCTGGAATAGAAGCCTTATCAGGCTTTGCCTTTCTGGCTACCAATGGTGGGGGCTGGGTATAGTCACCTAATCTGCCATCCAGGTGTTCCCCAGGACAATAGGAAACAGCAGCTGCCAACTGAGTTCAGACAGAAGTGGGACATCTGGGCCAGAAGCCGAAGCCAAGGATGAGTCATCTCACAAGGGGTTTGTGGGGCAATCTTACTGCCCCAAGCACTGCAACTGTAGCCTCTACTGGGGCTTTGGCATTGATGCCAGTGTGATCTGGGGTCAAAGGCTTGTAGAAGTCCTCTTGGACTTGAGAGTTGCCTCTGCAAAATCTCCTGTTGCTTCTCTGCTGCTGCCTCCGTTTAGAAGCATGTGGGGGTCGGGCAGGGTGAGGGGTCTGCTGTGGAAGCCAAGATTATTCTCCTGTTACCAGGCTTGCACAGGTACCTGTGGGGAGTTTGAATCCCCCAGGGGCCTCTCACTCACTCACACTTTCCTGTGTTAGGGAGCTTCTCCTGGCTTTGTGTACATCCCAGATAGGCTGCTGACCAGCTTCGCTCCTCTGTGCTCTCTGTGTCCCCATGCTGCCTTGATAGATCCCAATGTGGTTTCTTAGATGATTGGCTTGTAGGGTCAGTGTTCACTAATCCTTTTGTTTCCTCTCAGTGAGAGCAGCACTCATGAGCTGCTTCTAGTTTGCTGTCTTGACCCAATGCCCATTCCATAATCTGTTATTGAAGGATAAGAACATATGAAGCAAAGTTCATAGGCTTAACACATTAATGGGGCTTCACAATTAATTTGTACTTAAACTTTAATTTAATATATTTTGATAAAAGAAATATTACCATTTCTAGAATCTGTAATTAATAATTATACCTTTTCACTAGCATATATTCCATATTGTATATTTTTAACTCGTTACATATTATACAGTAATTTTTGCTGTTTGCTAATAATACATTTCATGTAATTTTTTCAACCATTGAACATAAAGATTCTACTTTTGCTACCAAGAAAACAACATTAATAGCTAATGATGCTGTAACACTAATATGTAGTTTATGCTACATTTAATATGCTAAGTTTAATTAAAACATATAGCTATGGTATGAAAATACTATAACTACTAATGGTATGAATAAAGACAGAAACCATTTTAAGTTTTATTCTACCTTTTTTTTATAATATATAAAATATCCTGCATTAACACTTTTATCTATTCAAATAGGTATTATTATTCTTTCTACACACCTACACTTCTCCAGTCTTCAGCTTTGTGTGCTTGGTGACAGTACAGTGGGAAAGAATTGGAAAATAATTTTGAATTGGCTTCAAGTCTGAGACTCTTTTGGACTCTAATTTCTCACAAGACACTATAACAGAGACAATAAACCCTTTTTTTAGTAAAGGGAAAGCATAGTAAACCACTTAGGACACATATACACACAAACATACACACACAAGCACACACACATTTACATGTTTTCTATTTTCTTGCAATATGAGTATGTTTTTATATACTTATTTGTATTTGTCCTTATCTTTTCTGAACTGTATTTTTGTATTATTTGACAATTTTACTACTGGGTGATTTAACTGTTCTTTGTTGATTCAAGATCTTTATATATGATTGATATTATTCAGTCATCAGTTACATGTATTGTAAAATTTTATACAATAATTACTTGCCTTTGTTACTTGTTGACTGTGCTTTTTTTAAAAAAAATGAGAAATAATATTGGTAAAATTTTAAAGCTTGACAACAGCATATACATACATACGTGTGTGTATATATATATACACATATATCTGTTTGTATGTTATATGCATATTGATGGAAGTATAATAAATTCTACTTCAAGGGAAATTTTAATCACAATAGCCATCAAAAGCTAAATTGTATGCACATTTGCTAAGTATTTTTATATTATCCAATGTTGCATATAAAAATACAATATGCATATGGTTGCAATCCAAATGAGCATCAATAGATAAATTGTTAATTGTTTCATGCATAATGTAGAATACAATGCGTTCTTTATAAAACTTATGTAGATCTATAAATATTTAAAATCTAAGTACAATAAAATTAACTTAAAGGAAATCTAAACAGAAAGCAATATACAAAATATAACCCTCTTTTCATAAAATAGAAGTTATTTTATATATGTATACATACACAGAAGGATATTTATAGATGCACACAAACACTTCCAGAATGATACAT
The DNA here is from genome assembly GCF_000001405.40 of Homo sapiens. Lineage (NCBI taxonomy): Eukaryota > Metazoa > Chordata > Mammalia > Primates > Hominidae > Homo > Homo sapiens. The sequence continues at coordinate 69,267,295 of NC_000013.11, forward strand.
GGCAAACTGGTGGAAATAGCTATTTCTGGCAAGGGAAGTTGGCTCTTGATTTTGGAGGTTGAGGGTGTTGAAAATAAACTTCCTGTTTTCACTCTAATATTTCCATAATAAATGGCATTTTTATAACTAGAATATATCTGTTATATAAACATAAGTAAAAAATAAAAATATAAGTAAACTAAATTATGGCTTAATTTGGCTGACTTCATATAGAAAACTCAGCACTGTAAAATGTTGGTGAATTTTTATTTGATTTTTAAAATAACAAATATCTTTAAATAATAAATATTAATCAAATATCTCATATATGTATATATTTATATAATATATTTTGTGAGAAATGAATATGAGTATCAAATAAGGAACAAAATTATAATTATAACATTAATCTCTAGTAGCAAACATCATATGGATAAATGCTGTTTTAAAAATTCAATTATATTTGTGAACAATACCATAAACTAAAAACGATGTTTTCTCAAATCATAGATAACATATATTTAAAACCAATACCCAAGATAACCTGCCTATAGAATAACTAGAGACATTCTATATAAAATTAATAACAAAACAAGCAGTCCAGACAAACTGCATTTCAATGGCCATGTACTATGTGGTTATTAGTAGAAGCTCTGTCATCAGATTTCTTGGGTATAAATTTTATTTGTAGCAGTTAGTAGCCATATGACCTCAAGCAAGTTAATTAATGTATTCTTAATTTCATTTTTAATATCAAAAAATTGTTAGAGTTTATACAATTTTTATAGAAATATATATTAAAATACATAGTAACTACTTACTAAAACATAGCTGCTTTTATAAACATAGCTCACCTAATATCCAGAGCCCTCCACAATTGGTCCTAGCAAACCTTTCCAGTTGTATTCCTCAGTCCTAACACTTTATTTAAAACCGGCCTTTGTCACCACACCTATCAGTTAGTACTGTTACCTTTCTCTAAATACTCATCTTTCCCTCTTCCATTCTTGGCCAACTTACCTATTCTTTCAATGTGCCTGTATAAGTGATGTTACTTGTACAATTCCTGTCAAAGTGTAAGAACTCAGGACTTACATTCCATATAGCTAATCTAGCTCATTTGAATACATATACTTTTCTGAATTCCTAAGGCATTTGTATTTTATTTGAATAAATTAATCAAATATGTATTTATTATTTACTTTTAAGTTTTCACAGAGTACAATATAAGTATATTATATTTTTTATTTTACTCACTGAGGAAAAATAATATAAAAATAAATTATATAATGTGACAAAGGAATCATATTTTAAAAGATAAATGTAGGTTAGTTTTGAAATGTCTACTGGATAAGGCTCTGCACTGTTTGTTGAACACACAAAGGAATGAAATACTGGGAGAAGTCTACTATTCACTACAGCTTCTCCTAGATTTACACTTTCATAGTGATTGTTGCATAATGACAGGGCTATTACCATATCTTATCCAAAAAAAATCTTTCCCAGGGATAACATTTATATAAATTTAAGTAAACCTTTATTCATCTGTATAGCAGTAAGCAAGAAGAAGTTTTCATATGTGACTATATATAATTCCATGCTTTTTTCAGCTAAATAATAGAAGTTTACATTTCTTTCTTCTTCTTCTCCATACTATAAAGAAAAAAAATATTGAGACTACATTTATTTATTAAAATGTTCAACAAATTGATAAAATAACTTGTGATGTTTCTCATTAAAATTTATGTCATTTAAGTTACTGTTGTATCATTGATGTAGCTCTGGACAATCACTTCTTATTTTGGAAGAAATTTTCAGAGGCATTAGTACTTTGTTTTCTAGGTAAAATTATATAAATATAAAACTGAAAATTTCTTCAGGCCCAAGGAATAATAATAGTTGATTACTTGGAAACAATAAATTTTGTTCTTGATCTTAAAAACAGTAAAATTTTTGAGGTGATATATTTGTAAATTAGCTGGATTTAAACATTCCAAAATGTATATTTACACTGAATACTTTAATGGATCTTGTTGTACACAATAAAAACATACGATGCTATCTGTCAATTTGGAAAAATCAGAGTAAACATACATTTCTTGCATGCATAAATGTTATTTTTACTTACAATTTCTTAAGGAAATCTATTGTACATCACCTTGGAGAGAGGAGAAAAGGTTAAATAGTAAAGCAGTGATTTTTATCTAAGGCTTATGCATTTTATCACCTTTGGCATTTTTCTCTACTTGCTATCATAACAAAAGAAAATTCTAAATTGGAACAATTTACTCCAAAGAAACTTGCTACTGAAAGAAAGTTATTTTTCTAATTTTTTTTCTAAATTGAATGCATTTTAATTTTAAAATAAAACTGTGTTAATTTCTACAGTTTCTTTATCCTCCTGAAGAATCCTTACTGAGTTTCTGTCACACCTTATTTTCACTTTCATGTTAGTATAAATTAACATTGCATTAAAAAGTATTTATTCAAAATAATGTTTCCTTGATGGAAATAAAGGAGTTAGTATTAGCAACTATGATGAAGAGCTAATAATAAAAAGTACTGTTGAATTCTTAGAAAATACTACTTCATATTCCTCTCTATTTTTCTATCACAGATATGAAGAATAGAGCCAATATTACAACAAATAACCTTCATGCCTGCAAAAACTTTTTCAGGTACTGAAAAAATAAGGTTATTTTACCTTTCATATATACTTTTCACACCAAAGAAAATCTGAATTCCCTGCAAATATGTTCAAAAAAGTTATTATAACATCAAATGATTATGACTACAGAGACTACAATAATACACATAATACTGTATAATACAATACAATAATACACATAATACTGTAGTAATTTAAAAAAATACTGTAATAATTTTTAAATGAGTGTCTATATACATGATGTATAGTTTATTTTTAGTTCTTAAAAACATTGTTTAATTTATGTTGATGACCTTTTCTATAATATTGTATAGCCTTCTTATCTAGTTGATTAAATAATACGTTCATATACATGTTTCTGTTGACAAAGGGAATTTACATATATAATACACATATATAAAATATATTATATGTAATATTGTGTACATATATTATATATAGTACATATATTTAATATTTGGAATATTGCTGGGTACACAGTGAATTTTGTTTTTTTTTTGAAATGGACTTTCGCTCTTGTTGCCCAGGCTGGACTGCAATGGCGTGACCTCGGCTCACTGCAACCTCAGCCTCCCGGGTTCAAGTGATTCCCCTGCTTCAGACTCCCGAGTAGCTGGGATTACAGGCATGCACCTCCACGCCTGGCTAATTTTGTATTTTTAGGAGAGACAGTGTTTCTCCATGTTAGTCAGACTGGTCTCGAACTCCCGACTCCTGCCTCTGCCTCCCAAAGTGCTGGGATTACAGACGTGAGCCACCTCGCCCAGCCTCACAATGAATTTCTTATAAGTGCTTTAAGTTGGATTGCTCAAAAAGCAGACATTGAGATGGCAATTACCACCCAAGAGTTTTATTAGATTTTTGTAGCTGTGAAACAAGAGAGTAAGAAAGCAGGATTGGGCCAAGCTATGGGTGCAGGCTCAATAATGATGTGGCTGGCCCAATAGGGAGCCCCCTTCAGTGTCGTTCCAATATCGTACAAGGGGACTAATCTAGGTTGATTAGTCACTGAATGAAGACTGTCCAAGGAAAGAGGTCTGACCCTAGGTGATGTACTTTTTTATCAGTGAAAAGAGGACTGACAGCTGAGAGCAATTTTCTGGCAGTATCCTCAGTAGTGGAGTCATAGTACATCATAGCTTGCTCCACAGTCCACTCTTGTACTGCTCAGATACACTCTTCATACAGAGTTCAGAAACATTTCTTTCAGCCCTCTCATGTATCATTTCTTGGGTGAAACTGAAGTAAGACAGGTTAGGTTTTGAACTAGATAGAGCCCCTGGCATTGCAGCTGCCCTTGGAGCTATAACCAATACTCATAGTTTCCTCTACTGTCTCAGATTCCACTTATGCTCACACAGAACTTCTAATGGTCTTTGTGGGCTTATTGGTGGCATGACTTGCATCCTCATACCTGAGAAACTTGAGCCATAAGTCACATAATCTTTGTAGCTCACTGTTGCTGGATTTATTCACTAAACATCAAAATTAGGTAAAGGAGTATCAAAAAGCACAAAAATAGCCTACCTGAATGTCAAATACATTCCTCCCTACCTCCTCTTGATAATCAGGTTCAGTTCTCTCTGACAAGATGAAGAATTCCCTTTTTGCCTGCCGGACCCTTGGCACTAAGTCCTTGAAATACCTAAACAAAAGCGGTAGTTTTTCTTGCTGTATTTCCCACAATAGAAAAGTTTCCCCTCTAGAATAAAAAATCTCCAAACCCACAAGAATCACTTCAGTACTTCACTCATGCCTCTTCCCTAGTCTGTCCATTGCTCTCTCCATCTGAAATGGGAAAACTCTTAAGGGATCTTTCAATTGCACCATCCAAAGCTATTTGCTGAATATGTAACACAAGTCAGATTTTCCTTCTGCCTAATCCTGCCTCCTTACTATAATTTTCACCTATATTGATCCCAAGAACACTACATAGGATGGTGGTAAGTGGGATAATTCCTCATATATATATACACACACTATGTACCCATAAAAACTGAAAATAAAAAAAATCATTTTAAAAAGTAGGCCTATATTTGCTTCCAGCTCTTGAATTCTGAACCATGCATTCTTCCTGCTGGGATGCATCACCATTTAAAAGTCTTTGATATATTCTGCAGGGTGGTATCTCACTCATAAAATATTAGTATCAAGCTGGTGCTTTTGCCATGCATTTGGCTAGGTATTCCATTGCTCCCATCGGCCTCTAGATTTTGGATGTCATTACTGTGAAATACTCAATGGATACCATGGACATGGGTGTATTCATGCATCTTTTTTGTGTAAAGTAAGTGCATTGATCTGACATGTCATGTGAAATTCTGTGCAGGTAAATAAAAAAATTTCTAAGTCTCTGGGGACAGACGCTACTTAAGGGTCAGAATGCAGGAACATAATTAATATTCTTGGAATATGTGTTTCTTCCTTTCAAAAATGGACTGCTTCCCCTTCTATGGTAGAAGAAATCCAAAAGAGTCCATTTGCCACCAAGTATCCAGAGTCTCTCTTCAAGGATTGTAGACTCAGTGTGTGTTTTTGTTGCTGAGAGATTGAACATCAAAAGTGGTAATAACTTCACTATTGGAATTCATGCTGTAAGGATACTGCATACTGCCATTACTGCTATCATACTTATTTCATTCTTACGCTTTCTGTGCTAACTCTAGGATAGCCAATAACGGTAGTTGGTGACCATCAACTGGCCAAGTTATTTTGTCTAATTGATTCCTTAGTTCTCATCAACAGTGAATGCCCTCTTTTGGGTATTTACATATAATGGGATTTTCAATGGTTGTGGTCATCCCTCTATATCTATGGGAGTGGGACAGGAGGAGGCAATGAGAAGAGAAGAAAAAGGGAAGATAGTTTTTCTTCATTTGTAAAACTGGAAATATAATGCTTACTTCCAAATTTTAATGAAAATAAAATAGGTTATTATATAAAAAGCAGAACACATTTTAGACAGTTTGCTCATTCTTCATGGAACCTCATTAATAATAAATGGTGCACTTTGATTACAAATATAAAGAAGTAATTTAGAGATCAGAGAATTGATAAAGATGCATGTATTAAAAGTTATAGTTAACTTATTAAATGCACAAAAATAAATAACAAAAGGGATACTTATTATCAATGCTCAAAGACAAATGTCATGGAGGAAGCATTGTTTCAGAAATATAAAAAGTAATATTTAAAGAAGGGTACAGTTAAATAATTTTAAAGTTACGAAAAAGAAAATAAAAATATTAGCAAACCATCAACAAGTTAGTACCACAAATTGTATGTCTCAAAAAGCTGTTAATCATTTATTCATGGCCATTTCATATATGCTTTGTTAGAAGTTAATGGCTAATTGGCAGCTCCACCCAATAGGATTTAATTAATAGATTGTCTGAAATAAAATTATACAAACTAACCTTAACTATTAACCTTAATCAAGATGCAGTGAATCCTCTCATGGTGGGAAACAAGTTCATTTCCTTTGCCCACTTTCTAATGGAGTTGTTTATTTTTTGTTCATTGGATTAAGTTCCTTGTAGATTATAGATTCTGAATATTAGAACTTTGTCAAATGCATAGTTGGTGAATATTTTCTCCCATTCTGTCAGTTGTTTATTTACCCTGTTGGTAGGTTTTTTTTTTTCTGTATGAAAGCACTTTAATTTTATGCTGTTCTTGTTTCAAAGTGTTGTATACTGCACTCACAAATAACTATAACCACTTAGCATTCATCTGTCGACAAAACCACTCAGTGACTACAACAAGAACTATCCAATGAAACTCTCTTGCCCCTCTCTCACTTGCATTTATCTAACAAAAATCCAACATAATTCTTATACAACTCAGTATTCCCTAGGTCATAAAAAATTCCAGTTCATGTAAGTAATGTATTATGTATATAAAACAGGCATTTTTAATAATCAAAACACCCTTCTCAAGTTATTACTTGGTTATATTAAGAAAATATATATCATTTTAATTTCCAAAAGAATGTTTTCCTTATGACTAGAAAAATTCTCTTCAGGTTTTCTAAAACAAAACCAAAATATTTAGCTGTGCAGCAGAATGTGAATGCTCAAACAGTCTTGCAAGGGAAATTTAATTTTTACCCTTACGTTGGTGCATTAGAAAATATTATTTGAGTAGTTCTGACAGAAAGAACCATATACCCTGGATAGAAAGAAGTGTCTCCCTTATTTTGTGTCTAGGAATTGATACCTTGCTGATTTTTTTTTATGAAGAATGAAACTTTCTTACCTTTGTTTAAGGAAGAATCATCTTCCTTTATTGATATGACTTGTAGTTAAACTAAGCAATGCACTTTTTCAACTACATTTTCCATCATAAGCTATTATGAATGAATAAAGTGAAAAATACTTGTGTGGAAGGATAGAAACAAGTATGACTGGAATATAGTGAAACCTTAAGATGAGAGAATGATCTAAGAGTGACTACTTTGGAAGATAATGTTGAGCAATCAGGCTAAGGAAAGGTCATGATTCAGAGCACAGGAGTGTGTGTGGCGGGAGGGAGGGTCAGAGTCCACACCAGCTAAATATCTAGTCTTCACCTGAGTGAAAATTATGTTATCACCTCTGCCCAGGGCTTGTAGCAGTAAATTTTCCTATCTCCATCTGGAAGTCATGATCATTGCTTGGTAGAAGACATCATTTATGGTTCATCACTATCTACATATAATATAAAAACATATCAAAATATGTGCTTTATATTATATGCTGCAGAGAACCTCCACCTCTCTCTGCAGCACAATAGTGAGAATATTCTGCACAAGTATTTGTGTTGAGCTAAGTAAAGAGGCAAAATGAGAATGAAAGATCTCTGGCAAGTAAATATTCAACAAGTTGTTGACAAATATAAGTATAAATAAGTACTCTAGATCAATCCATAAGTATAGAATAAGTACTTCATGTCATTCTCTAAACAAATACTTGAAAGTTTTATGTGTAATCACTATAGCAGTTTTTTATCCATGATATTTTCCTTTTATTTAATACTTTTTATTTCTCAAGTATCATCAATCTTTATCCATTTTAAATCTATGAGATTACATTGTACACATTATATTTCTTTTCTATATCTTTTTTCTCTATAGTCACATTTGTTATATTGTAACAGTAAATTTTCAACTTATTTTACAAAGCAATTAATAAACATTTATTTATGTGTTTGCTTTACAGCTTAACTAATGCTTGTGATGTTTAACGCCTGTCTTTTCAACTTGGTCTACTGAGTCTTCAATACTGGTGACTGAGCTGCTTGAAGTGAACTCTGGACAAGGTGGAGAGCATCTTCTTGATTTAAGGTCTGATAAAAACTAGCAGTCTTTCAATTTATCCAGTAAAATGGGTCATAACAATACAACTATATGGTATATTTTGTTTCCAAAATTAAAAACGTCCTAACAATCACTGTGCTTCTATTTTAGCAGTAGTGGGTAAATGGAGCTACGATCTTTATTTTTTTTACCTTGGAAGAAATATCACACACATACATGTACACACAATGACTCCTTGAAACTTTATTTAGAAGGCAGACTCTGAGACTTATCTCTCTCAGCATTCAGAATGTGTAAGTCTTGCCAACTCATTCAGGATAGCTCCTTTTTTTCTCACCAGGTCTTGACATTATAAATGTTATAGACCAATACGCTATGTTTGAGAGTAGTGAAATGATCAGTGTCCCTCTGGATTAATTCGGACCTTTAATAGGAGAGTTGATGTAACACAGAGGTAAGAAAATGAGGGTCTACTGCTGTTCCCTGATAGATTTAATCAAATTACATCTGGTGCTTTCTCTTAAAGAATGGAGAAAAAGCCGTTAGCAGATGGAGAGTTGCATATCAGGGGATGCATTAATTTTCTCCGCAGTAATTTTTCAGGACACGTCTGTACAGACCAGTTAAGTAAGCTAAATATGGGTATGGTATGTACACTTTTCAGGTGTTCAATAATAGCACTTATTTATGCAGCTCACCCAGAAATGTTGTATTGCTATCACTTTGCTCTTTTGTTAAGGAAGTTAAGTTCTAGAGGTTCCATTTCTCTCATTTTACTGTAATAACACTTACGTCTAAGGTCAGGAAAACAAGCTTGTATTTCTGTTAAATGTCAAATATATGTATATGAATAACGTATTCAGGATCTGAGAAAGTACTCATTGGTTAAATTGATGAATATAGAAAACCTGGCCAGGCGTGGTTTTCTATAGGCCAGGCCTATAATCCCAGCATTTTGGGAGGCCAAGGTGGGTGGATCACTTGAGATCAGGAGTTCAAGACCAGCCTGGCCAACATGGTGAAACCCTGTCCCTACTAAAAATAGAAAAATTAGCCAGGCATGGTGGTACACGCCTGTAATCCTAGCTACTTGGGAGGCTGAGGCAGGAGAATGCTTGAACCCGGGAAGTGGAGGTTGCAGTGAGCCAAGATCACACCACTGCACTCCAGCCTGGGCAACAGAGTGAGACTCCATTAAGAAAAAAAAGAAAGAAAGAAAGAAAAGAAAAGAAAACCCATGGTGAGATAGAGTCATTCCATCATGGACTTTGACTGGTGGACCACAGTGTTCATCTTCTGAATCATTACGGATTACTGATAGCTCAGATACAATGTGAAGTATTAACCAAATAACTGGAAATGTTTCTTCCTTGAGTGCATATTTACACAGTTAAATGGCCAAATCTTTCTTTAAGTGAGAAATTACATCACCTGTAGATGTCAGATGATGGTTCTTTGCTCCTGACACTCTAGGATCCCATCATCCTCACTAAAATTAATTAGCCACTTTCAATCATCTCACGTATTTATTGTTGTGCTATAGGGAATAATCACTACAGTGTTTTAAATGATATATTTCTCAATCTCATTGTGAATTAAACAACTCCTTGGCCTACTGGATACATAATTATGAAAAATTCATATATTATGAATTATATTTAACATTTATCTCTCTCCAAGTTTTGGAGTTTCTTTCAGTTTATAATACAAAGAATTTCAGGCACGACAATTTCAATAATCATAGATTAAGTTTGATTCTTGGTTCAATGTACTAACCAAGAAAAGATATGATACCATCCTCAGTGGTATCAACTAGGATATGTAATCCATAGGCTTTGTTAACTTTTCTCAAACTCTCATTTCCATAAGGTAATTCAATTTAATATTATGTTTATTTTCAACTAGTCTCATATACATTCCCCCATATTTTTTTTACTTCTGAAGATAAGCAAAATACTGTGTTATTTACTATGTAAAATTATCATTATTTTTTTTGGTCAGATATTTTCTTGGCCATCAAGTGGCAGGTTGGAGTTTACTGGCTATGAGGAGTGATGGAAGTGAGAAGTAGGGAAACCTGGTATCTCCTGTGAGTGTCTGGTGAAGGCTTGACCTTAAGTGAGGCCATTACAAGATAAACAAGGATAGCCTTTCAAAGCAAAGACAGAAAAGCTTCTTATAATGAGAAGGAAGTCTCAGAGACTCTGAGAACATTGTGATATTCACCATTATTTAATTCCATCCAAATGTCCTCATTGCACTTTCCAGAGTCAAGTGTTTTCTTAACTAACTTTCAAATAAAATGTAGGTAACCAGGTAAAACTAAGCACTGAAAATCCACTGTAACTTAATCTGCAAGATAAGCTTCATTTTCACTATAAGGTTTTATCATAGCAGCTGTCATATCTAATAAAGCATCTCCTTCAACAGAAACTTCATTTTAGATGTAGAGATAATGAATTAATTCTTTTGTCACTGTATAATATGAAAAGTCAATATCCTATCTATAATGTACTCTTGATTCTCTTTCAACCTAACTATCCAGAAAACGAAACCCAATTTTCTATATTTTGCGTGCTGTTAAATAAATTTCTGATTCAATTATTCAGTTAAATAGAATACAGGTTAGAATAAAATCCATTTCAGCTAGCATAAAGATGGACAATTTATCTCATAGCTTTTGCTAGCTTACTAAATTATTTGGGTGGTTGAAAAACTTACTCTAGGCTGATCCCGGACTTCTAAAGCCACAGTTCTGCAATGGGTTTCCTTAGAAGCTGTTCCCTATCATAATCAGAAGCTGTAGAATTATTGGTGTAGAACCAATAATCACCCTACCAACTTTGGAGATTTCTGATAAAAATATTGCTTCCATATCCATGGTTTATGCTAGGGTTTGAATGCTTGTGTCTTCTTCAAAAATTTATAGTAGAACTCACCTTCCAATGCAATAGTGTTAAGCAGTGAGACATCTAGGAGATGTTCGAGTCATGAGGATGGAGGCCTCATAAGTGGGATTATCGACCTTAGAGAAGGGCTGGAAGGAAATAGCTAGGCCCTTTTTTGCCCTTACACCATATGAGGATGCTGCAAGAAGGGTCTCGCCAAACTGTGAATGCTGGAGTCTTGATCCTGAATGTCCCAGCCTACCGAACTACAAGAGACACATTTCACTTGCTTACAAATTACCCAGTCTCAGGCATTTTGCTATAGCAGTACAAATGGACTAGGACAACCTGTCTGCTATAATCAGAAAGAAGTTTTTGCTGAATTGGAGATCTACCAGAATTTTACTGCCTCTAGTTCAGTATGCAAAACGAATGCCCAGTTCCATCCCTTTGCCCCATTTGACTACGTTCCAAATTTAAGTTTACTGTGAGTATATGTTATTGATGAAATCTTATGAGATTCTCTAATTGGCACCAAAAATATAGTTTTTAGTGTTTCTGCCTCTTCATGTTAAGATAGGATGTTAAATGTTTGTCAAGTGATATAATTTTTAATATCGGCCATATTTTTAAAAATTTCCTTCCACCCACTGTTAGAGTCTTTTGAAATCTAGTTTTTATTATGCATTTGCCCTTTCTCTTTTACTTAAATTATTAGCCACACTTTTTCTGAAATTTTTGAATGGAGATGAGATTAAAACATATGATCAATTATCTGTACTATTGCAAGGCTATTCCAGGATTGAAGGACTTTACTAAAATTGATGACCTTAAATTTCAAAAAGACTTTTTTGAACACATTTTATTTGTAATATGTGCTTTAGTTATTATACTAAATGCCCTAGAACTTGCTGCCCTATAAGCACTTTTGGGAAAGAATTATGCCAAATTTCAATATGTCAAGCTGTGATTAATCAACTTTATTCCCCCAAAGATTAAATTACTACTGCTAAAGGTCAATAAATGCTAATGATTGTTATCTGGCCTTACAGCTATGAACAGAATTCTTAAAAAATGATTTTAAAAAAGAAAAGTCATTTTGGAATAACTGATTAGAAAAGTCAACTAAATTTGTTACTTTTGTTGTGAAAACCTTTGTGGTTTATAACTCAACAGACAATTACTGAGTGTTCTTCATAGGATATTGTGCTGAAAAGTACAAAAATCAGTCATACAGAATAAATGCTGGTCTGTATTTTCATTGAAACAGAATGAAAAGGAAATGAAACTTCACTCTTTTGTTCAACAATACCTATTAAGTACCCAGTATGTGAAGTATGTGGCTGGTATTTATATTCTGAGGAGTGTATATAAAGAAAGCTGTAGATGTCTCTGGAGTTTAAGTACAGTGGACTTTCCAAACACTTTGTTGTTAAATCCCATCAAAGTTATAGTATATATGAGAAGTTTTGTTTACTATTTTACAAATGAAGAAGACTCAAAAAAGTTAATATAGTCACAAAGTCATATAGAGAGTATTTTATCTCAAAATCTATATACTTCAAGAGCACCATATTGCTTACAATCTAAAAGGATAAAAAGACATGTGAGTAATGAATTTTACTATAGTGAGTAGATTGATAAACACATCAGTAGAAACAAAGTATTTTGGATCGCTAGAGAAGTGACCTGTTTTTAATGCAAAGATTTTTTTAGTAGAAAGAAAGTGGTGATTATAAAATTATCAGATCACTTTTGATAAGTACAGATTTATAGAAAAGCATATGCAAAGACACAATGATATATGGGTACAGTGCACATTAGGGGAACAGAATTTCTGTTAGAGGCTGCCTGGGGGAGCTAAAAGATAGCAATATGACTGGTGAATTTGGTTGGTTAATTATTGTGGATGACAGTCCTAGTATAAGATTCCCATCCAGAATCCCAGCACTCCAGGTTGTTGAATTGACAGGAAGAATGTCTATATAGGTTTCTAAGTTCACTCAGTTTTCAAGCTTATGCTATAATCATTATTAAAATGACTAGTGCTAATAATGTCTCGTGCTAAAAAAGTGGCGAGAGACGAGAGCAGGCTGCATAAAGCAGCAAGCCGTTGATATGTGTTTATCACACTCTGAAGCCAAATATTTCCTCTAGTCACTGACACTCTCAGCTTTTAGAACAACATAAGGCAAAAGCTGAACTAGAAGGTGACCACTATCAGGAATGGTATGTTAACAAGTAAGTGGTCATTGACTGCAAGATTTTAGGATGATATACTATGTGTAGATAACTAAAATGGTTCTTTATTCTGTAAAGCTGTACCCAGATGATCATAATACTTCTATTTCAAATTGTCAGTGACCAGGGCTACACGCAATTGCCCGTGTCAACTGTTGAAACACACAAATCTACTTTCTTAATAACTAAAGTAAAAGCTTTTTTTTTGCTGATGAGTAAATTGCTGAGCTGACATATCCTACCAAAGTACACCCTGTGCTGAACGAATGTAGCTGCATTAATATCATTAATGTACACTACATGATCTGCTGTATTATCCCTCTATGACAAGCTTCCTATAAGAACCCAGTCAGTGAGGTATTTCAAACGAAAGATCTGGTGTAAACAACCCAAACATTTGTTGATGGGGAAATACCACAACTGCCTCAATTATAGCAACTCATGAAACAGCAGCAGGAAGACCACCAACCTTAACCTCTAAACAAGTAGAACAGACAGAGAACCAGAGCAGAAAACAGAGGATCAGTACCTTTCAAAAATTAGATCAGCATTTTAAAAACTTAAGTCCCCAGTAGAAGAAAGTGGAAAGATAAGGGGAAGAGCTGCCTATGGACACCTGAGAAATGTGTTGGAATTAGTTTGCTAAGGCTGCCATAACAAAGTACCACACATTGGGTGGCTTTAAAAAAACGTATTTATTTTTTCTCATAATTCTGGAAGCTAGAAGTCTGGAATCAAGGTGTCAGCAAGACTGATTTCTTCTGGGGCCTTTGTCTTTGGTTTGTAAACGGTCGTGTTTTCCCTGTGCCTTCACATGGTTGTACATCTATAGTCAATTTTGTCCAAATTTTCTCCCTTTATGAGGATATCAGTTATACTGGATTAGGCCCCACCATAATGACATAATTTAAGTTTAACTACCTCCTTAAAAACCATATCTAGAAATATGGACATATTCTGATATATTGGGGTTTGAATTTTAATACATGAATTTAGGGAGGATGAAATTCAACCCATAACAATAGGTAAGGCATACTAGATGATATCACTATCCTCTGAAGAGGATAGTGACAGTTCAGTATTCATGGGAAATTAGATATGTGTATAGATGAGAAATACATAAAGAAAAAAAGAAAATTTTAAAATATATGTGTGTGTATATATATATATTACTCAAACATATAGGACTTTAATGCTCTTAACTACAGCATTGATCATTTTTAAAGGCAAAACACTGTTATGGAAGTTGTTAAGCAGAAAGTTAAAACTCTAAAATTTGAGATATCTAAATAGAATTGAAGGATTTATTCAGAGAAGGCTGGAAACAGAAAATCTAGCCAAAATTCTGTTAATAGTTCATAAGAAGAATGATTAAGGAAAATCAGGACAGAAATAAAAAATTGTAACAAAAATAAAACTTTCAAGAAACACTAAAGCTAAGAGCAGCAAAATTTGGAGTCCAACTGAATATTATGTATAAATGAAAAGGGAAACTAAAACTATTTTTATATTTTTAACCTGGAAGATTGAAAGTATTTTGATGCTGACAGTGACAACAGTAAGAAAAATAAGAAGTAGAAGAAAATACAATTCAAGACATTTCAATTTGCAGATGGAAATATGCAAATAGGTCAAAATTCATTAAACTCAAAATCAGGAGGTCAGAAGTAAAACTAGACTTGAAGTCATGCATATACAGAAAATAATGATGGTGGTGGGAATGAAGAAAGATCTTATGTGGATCATTTTGTAAACATGCTGAAAATATAATTTTATGAAATTTCTGTTTTACAGATCAGATATATACATACATATATATAAAACTTAGGAAAATATGATTAAATAAAAAAAAATGAGTACTCAGAACCAAAACAGTAAGGATTTTAAGAAGCAGGACATTTGTTTTTCTCAAAAGATCAAATAATATGAAGATATAAAAATTTGAATTTTCTAAGTTTGAAATTGCAGTAGATTTTGGGACCCATTAACTTATTTCAAAGCATTTTCCCTAAAATATTAGACTCATAAGATGTTACACATAGATTATAAAGGAATAAATCCATATACAAATTGGTTTGAGAAAAGTTATAATCTATACCTTGCTTGGTGATTCACAATATGAATCATATTGGGATACACCATAACTGTTAAAAAA
Source organism: Homo sapiens (assembly GCF_000001405.40). Lineage (NCBI taxonomy): Eukaryota > Metazoa > Chordata > Mammalia > Primates > Hominidae > Homo > Homo sapiens. Next base: position 69,282,522 of record NC_000013.11, read on the forward strand.
TTATTCAATGACATTTGTTAAAGCTTAGTAACTAAGAGTTTATCCAGGACTATTGCAATAGGCACTGGGACCACTGCAATGGGATCTCGCAGTGGGGAAGGGACATTGAGCTCAACTCTGAATACAGCATGGAGAAGTAGGAATTTATAGTCAAGGAGCAGGTGGGGATTGGTGGATGAAAAATTGCTAAAAAGAAACATCGGGGTAAGGAGGATTCTGGCTGAATTGACTCAACAACATTCGTGCTGAAGCCAGGCCACAGTGATGACATCAAGTGAGGGATAGTGGTAAATGAAGAACCTAATCCAATATTGAAGATGATCAGATCTTGAGGATGGGTGGTTCTTGCTAAGCTAAATTGTCAGGGTTCTTTGCTAAAAGTGGATTTTACAAGGAAGTGCACAGATGGGCTGGCCTACCAGAGGATTCAAAAACCTGATTCAAGTTTGCTCAAGCAAAGAATCTTTTTCAAAAATTTTCCCACAACAAAGAATGACCTAGTATGAAAAACCCTATCCAAATGATATGAATAACATTACTTTTCCAACTTTACTTCCACTAATTCCTCAACTTACCTCTCATTCAATCCACTCGGTCCCCAGAGTTCCTCTCCTTCCCCAAACACACCAGGAATACTCTTGCATCTACACCTTTGTACCAGTTTTGGCCTCTGCCTGGAACTCCTATTACTCAAAAATCTAAGTACCCTATACTTTCATCTTCACATCTCTGTTCAAACACTGTCTTCTCAGTAAGGCTGACCCTGCATCTTCCTTAGAATATAAACTATCCCTCAGCCCCAGTGCTGCCAATCTGTATGAACTACTTGTTTATTTTTTTATAGCCTTTAACACCTTCTAGCATACTATATACTTAATGTACAGTTATGGTGCTTATTGTTAACTTTTTGTCCTGTCTTACCAAAATGTGTGTTCCCCGAAGAAAGACATCTGTTTTTGCTTTGCCTACTGATTTATACCAAATCTCTGACAAAACTAGATACTCAATACATATTTGTTAACTTTAGTAATTCAGTTCTCACTTCATTTATTTTATTTTCAAGACAATTTAGTGTACATTTTTTTACTAGTTTATATGGAAAAGGTGGCAATTTTTATCTCCCATCTGGGTTGGCATGATCTGTGCTAAACATATTCTTGTTTCTTTGTTTGCTGTTACTTCTCCCTGCGGAAAGATGAATTTCCTAAAAAGACATTACAGGCTTACTTTTTCTATTTTTTTTTTTGTGGGAGGAAAACTGCAAAAGATTAAAGGGATCATTAATTTCTTAAGGAACAAAAAAACACATTAGAACCCAGAGCCATTCTTACCCATTATTTAGTATTTTTATACGTTTTAAATAACCTGGTGTCCTAAAATAATTGTGCAAAATTTCTCCATTTACATATTTATATCTCAGTAAAACAGCACAATGTAGGTCATTACTACTATAGCAGGAGACAACGCACTAGGATATTGGAGACTGATTAGTTGCTATGCTGTGCTTGTTAACATGCAGACCCTTGAGTGAAGAATACATTTGCATATTTCTTTTCTTGTCCAGGATGACACACATTTCTCTTTGCCTGCCTAATGCTATTATCATGTTTGAACATTCTTGTCCTGGGAATTAATTTTACACAGGTCTTTCTGTTTGCTCCACTTTTTCACTCTATTTTTGATTCTTTTAAAATTTATGTTTATATAATTCTGTCATTACCTATTTAATTGTTCAAAGTAGCATTTTCTCTGATTTTTTTTTTTTAATGTTTTTAGTTTGGGTTTAACTCCTCAGAGAGAATATGGGTAGGATTTGACCATGAGATGCTGTGCTTTTTTAAATATTTAAGACTTACATATTCTCTCTGCTCTATTTCATATAGCATGTTTATTACCCTTAACATTTAAAACTTGTCTATTTTTTTCCAAACACTCTCAACTCTCATTTCTACTCTAAGCAAATACAACTATGCAGCTGTCATCAAACATAATACATATTAATCCAACAAGAGATTTGCTACATGAACAAAAAGGAAATGCCTCTGAACAGGATATATACATATAAATGCAAGTTTAAGATATATAATTGGGCCAGGCACAGTGGCTCAGGTCTGTAATCCCAAGACTTTGGGAGGTCAAGGAAGGTGGACCACAAGGTCAGGAGTTCAAGACCAGCCTGGCCAACATGGTGAAACCCTGTCTCTACTCAAAATACAAAAATTAGCTGGGTGTGGTGGCATGCATCTGTAATCCCAGCTTGGGAGGCTGAGGGAGGAGAATCGCTTGAACCTGGGAGGTGGAGATTGCAGTGATCCGAGATCGTGCCACTGCACTCCAGCCTGGCGACAGAGTGAGACTTCACCTAAAAAAACAAAACAACAAAAAAAAGATACATAATTGAAGGCTTACACTTTAATGAGAAAGTTTTCAAGGGAAGAAGAGGAAGGAAACAGAAAAGGAAAGTGAAAAAAAACCTCAAAAATAAGAAATGTGTCTAAAGGAAAGAAAATAATAAATAATAAATACAGGGTTAGAAGTTGATTTAATGGAATTCTGGCTCAGATTGTGGAGTAAGATCACTCTGATATATTCTCTCTGTTCCCAACACATAATAGTGATAAGAAAATATAAGGGTAAAAATAGCAGTAACAAGAAGTCATGAATTCTCTGAAAAACAAGATAATTTGATCTTGTTTGATCTTTGATCAGAAAATTAAACATAAACTTGAAATAATACATAAAATCAAGGATACCAGTATGATTTTCTTTGGTTTTTGAGGTTGACAACGATGATTGGATTTTGATTCTTATAAGTCAGAGGGCACTAAAAATGTTCCACTTCAAAAGTCTATTCCCAAGGACAAAAGAGGAACAAAAAGACTTTCTGTCCACAGATATTTAGACTAGATTGAGAGATCTCAACAAGAGTCAATAATTCTGGAAGTAAACATAAGAAACAATGGTGAAGTTGCAGAAATCATTGCTTTAATTTCCCAGAGGATGCCTTAGATCCAAAAAGCACAGATCAAATACCAAAAACTAAAAATAAATATACATATAGATCAAATATATAATAACTATGAAAGATCAAAAATAAAAAGAAAATCTTAAAGACTACCAGAAGAAAAAAGCAGATTATTTACTAATTATAATATTTAGCAGAGTATAGTCTTAATAATAGCAGCACATGTCAGGAACGATAGAATTGTATCCATTTGTTGGGGGAAAACCTCTGCTCTGACTCTTTCCTCCCCATGAATTTCTTACTTTCTTAGCATTGAACACATAAGATTTTTTGTTTACTTAGTAAATATGTACTATGTATAAAATTCAGTTTCAACTATTTGAAAACAACAATGGCATTGAATTTATAATTTTGTGAGGCATAAATATGACCATTGAAGGGAGAGTGATATTTACATGTGAAACTTTAAGATAGTGAGTGACATCTACCTGTCAATATTATAGCCTAGCTGTTCTTGCCTTGCCCTTGCTTATGCTTTAGTGGTAGATGACAACTTGCTTTGAAGAGTTATCTCCCAAATTAGTAGGCATATAAAGAAATGCCAAGGTTGTGCTATACTTTCTACATGTCATGGAACATACAAATGTGTACATATATATATGGCATATTCTTGTTCTGTTGTTTTGTTAATTTGCTGGACTCTCCCAAGAGGTAGTATATTCCTTGCATTTATAAACCCGATTTATTAGTGACTATGGTGGAGGAAATCCATAAATCAGTTAGTCTTAAAGTATAGCCTTTAAATTACCTGCACCTGAAACATCTGCATGTTGAAAGTTTGAGTCTCACTACCAGGCAAAAATCCATGAACAGCAGAGAAGCTTGTTTATGTCCAAGTGACTACAGAACTGGTAGTAGAATAAAATAGTTATTAATACCAGCAAGTCTCATGAGATCTGATGGTTCTACAAGGGCGAGTTTCCCTGCACAAGCTCTCCTTTTGCTTGCTGCCATCCATGTAAGCTGTGACTTGCTCCTCCTAGCCTTTTGCCATGATTGTGAGGCTTCCCCAGCCACGTGGAACTGTAAGTCCATTAAAGTCTTTTCCATATATAAATTAGCCAGTCTTGGGTATGTCTTTATCAGCAGCATGAAAATGGACTAATACAGCCCCTAAAAGTTCTGCATATTTATTCTTTATTTTGATATGAGGATTTTGTGTGTAACTGGCACTTTTTTCTCTCTCAGTCTCCTGCCATCTAACATAATATGGCATAATAGTTAATTGTATATTTCAGTAAATAAGTTACTGAGAATATTAAAGGGGAAATATAACTCAGCAAGAATAATTAACATCTATAAAGACAGATAAAAATAATATATCCTCCTTTGAGGCAAGAGTTGGTATATTTTCAGTTGTGCAAGAATGACTGCATTATGTTAGGCAGGAGCATAATTTTGTTGTTACCTTAATTTGAATTTAAGCATGGTCAAGTGGTGTATATTGATGTCAAATTGACAAAGGGTAAACCCCAGTGGATTTGTACTATGTCAGTTTAGATAGGGGAGGACTAAAGTTATTGGAACAGTAAACAGCTGCAAGTTAGTTTCAGCCATAGAAAATATTTTGTACAAAATCCTCAAAACAGAACTTAAGCATCCAAGAAGCAGCAGCCATATCCTTTTTATGCTTAAAAACGAAAGCTCAGCGGGCACAGAGCACCGCTGCTAGTACTGCACAGCCATGTTGTTCTACTACATGTTGGTCTACTGCCTCACCAGGCCCTCAGCAACTCCAGCTCAGGGTTTCTGAATCCTGGGCCAGCATGTTCCACTCCTGGGGCAGCTGTTGGGTGCATATTCCTTCAGCTTCTTCTGCTCCTGGGTCAGGTATGTAATAATGGGAACCAGTAAAGCAGTTTCCAGCTTGTTCTCGCAGATTTCAGTTTGTTTATGCTCCTCTTCACTTTCTTCTTCGCATTCAAATTATCTTCCCTTCCCACTCCTCGCTGCCTGCCCTGCTACTACACAGCCAAGCATAGAAGAGCTTTCATAATTGAATAAAGCTAAATCCTTACAACAAGTCCTTTAGTTTATATTATTCTTAATATACTTACTTATTTGATGAAGCCTGACTAATGTAGTTCTAGAAATTAAAATGATTTAGTGATCGTGCTATACAATTAAGGTGTGTGTGTGTGTGTGTGCACGTGTGTGTGTGTTGGCCAGTCTTATTCTTTTGTTGTTTTGCAGGACACTCTCAGTGGTTTCTGTTTTCCGTGTTAGTGGAATGACTCAAATGCTGACATATTGGGAACTGTTTGAAAGATATTGATAATTCATAACCCCTCAAAGTGTGATATGCAGATCATCTGCACCTAATTCATGTCTGATCACTGGTTTTTGATCTCAATCTGTTCCTAGCGATTCGGATTTATTAAATCATTAAAATGTTGTTTGCCAAAGGCTAAGGGAGTGTATAGCAGTGTATATTAAGTACCATATTTCATGTAAGAAAGTGGAGTAAAAACTTTTAGTTGCTGGATTTAAATAAGATATTGGTAAAATACACACAAAACTAAAAACAGTGATTACTTGATTAGCAGGACATGTCAGGGTGAGGAAATTGGGGTAGCTGGACCTTTCACTATACACTTGAAATTATTATTTTGATTTTTGCACCATGTGAATAGAACTTCTATGTCAAAATGAAACAGAAAGATAATGAAGTGAGATGAAATAAAAACCAGCCAGATTGTTTTGCTACACTCTGAGATTTGAGAGCCTCTGACTTAAATTGCATGATATTTAAGTATTATCTTTTATTTGTATGAGACTCTATGTTTTACAAAATACTTTAACTTCATTATTCTAATTTGATTACTATGACAGACCTATTAGTGTTTATTTCTATGCAACAAAGGGGAAAACTGGTATTTGAGGATATCTTCCTTCGGTCTGATGCATTCTGCACCCAGATTTCTTCTCCCACTTTTCAGTGAGTTTTCCCAAAAGCAATTTCCTCACAAAATCATCCCTGACACTATATCTAAAATAAAATAGACTTTTAGTCTTTACTTTCCTTTTTAGCTTTTAAAGATTTTATACCTGATATTCTATCTCACATTCTATTTTATTTTGTTCTATTTTTGTGTTCATTATCATTAATCCCCCCCATCTATGAAAAGCAGCCACATCAAGGTCCAGCCTTTATATGTTTGGTTAACTGCCCGATCCCCAAGTGCTTAAAAGAGTGCCTGTGTAAAGTAGAAACCATAAACATTGTTATGAATGAATGAATATCTACTTGGTTTAAAGATCACTCAAAAGTGAAATAATACTAGCTATAAATTTAGACCCCCAACCAAAAGACCTGTAAAAGCATGTACTGCAAAGAAAAGTGAACAGAAGCAAATTGTGTGAGATGTAATAAAAAATAATGAGCAGATACTTTAATAAGTATGATAAAAATTTAATAGACAATTTTAAAATTTTCATAGGACACTTTATGTGAGGTAAAAATTAGATCATGTAAAATAATTCAGGAGAAAAAGAAAAAAATAGCAAACTTTATTTTTGTTGGAGAAATTGACAATTATATATGTATATTACGTGCAGATAATCAGAAAAACGCAGGGGGGAATATGATCTATATTTTTCCCTTCAGGAGTGGAAACATTGCCAGAGTCATTGGAACCAGAATAATTCCATCTTGAATAGGAGCTGGGTAAAATGAGGCTGAGACGTACTGGGCTGCATGCCCAGACAGTTAAGGCATTCTAAGTCACAGGAAGAGATGGGAGGTCAGCACAAAATGCAGGTCATAAAGACCTTGCTGATAAAACAGATTGCAATAAAGAAGCCAGCCAAATCCCACCAAAATCAAGATGGCGATGAGAGTGACCTCTGGTTGTTCTCACGGCTACACTTCCACCAGCACCATGACAATTTACTAATGCCATGGCAGAGTCGGGAAGTTACCCCATATGGTCTACAAAGGGGAGGCATGAATAATCCACTACTTGTTTAGCATATCACTAAGAAATAACCATAAAAATGGGCAACCAGCAGCCCTCGGGGCTGCTCTGTCTGTGGAGTAGCCATTCTTTATTCCTTTACTTACTTTCTTAATAAACTTGCTTTCACTTTACATACTCGCCCTGAATTCTTTTTTGCATGAGTTCCAAGAACGCTCTCTAGGGGCCTGGATCGGGACCCCTTTGCTGTAACAAAATGGAAAGACAGAAACTCTATCACTTTAAGAGAATGTAACAAAAAAGGGAAAAGAACTAAACAAAAGATGTCACGTCAAAAGCACAGATTAAAATGGAATCAATAAATTTAAATATATCAGTAATTAAACAAATGTAAATGAATTAAACTTATGCTTTATAAGTCATTTATGATCAGATTGGATTCGAATTAGACAGTTACAGGTTTCTAAAGAGACTAAACCAAAACACAACAAAGAAAGAGTGAAAATAAAATAGAGAAAATACCTTCTAGAAAATAGTAAACAAGAAGATACCCACCTAAGCATACCCGCCTAAATCAAATGACAATATTTTAATGCTAAAAATAAAAAGAGAATGGGCTACCAAGGAGAAAATAAACAAAAAAAGTGTCAAAATAAATATTAACAGTAAAACATTAATAAAAATAAACACAGATGGTATCAAATAATACAATAATTCAGAAAATATAAGAAGAATAAAACCTGAATATATTTTAAAAATAACTTCCCACTATACAAAGCAAAACTAATAGGATTACTAAATAAATGTCAACCTATGGTGATAAATTTGTGACACGCACAACTCTATTAGAAGGTAATAATTCACTACACACAAAATTAGTTAAGTGTAGAGAAGATTGAAATAGTAATATCCCAAGCTAGAGCTAATAACTATATAGTGCATCATTCATCCTCAAAAATAGAGACTATATAATTTTTTAAGAACACATGAAATATATAACAATTTAGCCACTTTTTTGATCATAAGAATATTTTATTTTTCTCAAATACTATTATATGTTTTTACTGAAATTAATTTTCAAATAAGCCGTAAAAGAAAAGAAAAACCTTCATATATTTTAAAACATAAATTTCCCCTAAATATCCTCTGTGCAAATTCATTCACACTGGAATTTACAGAATTGAACAACAAAAAATCTTTTTTTATGGTATAGTGGTACGTCTTCTAAACTTGCAGTCTTAAAGACGCTTAAAAAAGAGGTGAAAGTAAATGACTTAAGTATTTAGTTGCCAACATAAAAAAAAGGAATAAAAAATATGATACTCTATTCTATTGGAGATGTGAAGAATACCTATGATTCTTACGGAATGATTAATAAGACTGACATCTTTAGTTCATGCTTTATTTGAATTCCATTTTAAGAAACCCAAAGAAAATAGAAAAATCCTGTTATTTTAATACACTATTTATCTTTTGTGTTGATTAGTTTTGTATATTGAATAAAAATGTTTTTAAAATCATATATTAGATTATATATGTTTGGAAGTATATTTAAATGTTACTGAATTAAATAAGCTTCTAAATATATAACAATACAGCTATAGAAAGAAAATTTTGCACTTATACACTACTAGTGATTTTTGTCTAAAAACTATACTTATGAGTCAGAAATTATTTATGTTATAATTTTTCTTGTTAAACAATTTGAAATATTTCTCTCTCACATTAAAAGTTTTCTCCCACTTCTGGGTACAATTTTTAGTGCATATATAATACTCCATTTTTCAAAAGCAAAGATGGTACTAAAGATTGAATGATGGCAGGCAATTTACATAGAAAATGGTTTACATTTTCCCAACCTAAAATATACATTTAATCAATTCCAATCCCCCAAATCATTGTATTCTCATTGGAACAATTCTAAAGGAAGGGCATTGTGGAAGACAGCCTCCAATATGGCTCACAATGATCTCTGCTTCCTGGTGTTTTTACTCTTGTAACTCCTCCCCCCTTGGACCTAGGTAGGTCCATGTGACCAAAAACACATGCAAGAAGTGATGGCATGTGACCTCTAATGATAAGTTACAAAGTCTTGCAGGTTTTCACTTGGGAGAGTCTATAATTATAAAAATCTCCTTGACACATTCCCTTTCTTTGTCTCAGATATCTTGCAGTAAGGGAAGCTCTGTCCTGAGAAGCCTTTACAGAGGCACAGGAAGAGGCCAGGACCTGAAGCCTCCCCCTCCCCCAAGAGTCACATAAGTGAGCTTGGAAGAGGAACTTCAGCACCAACTGGCAATGTAACTAGTGCTGCGTGAAAGACCCTGAACCAGAACCACCTAAATAAGCCCCTTCCAGATACCTGAGCCTTAGAAACTATGTAATATAATAAAGACTTGTTTGGGGGCAATTTATAACCCAGAACTGGATAACCAATACAGTTATGTTTTTAACAAACAGCTGGCTGGGGTGAAGAGTGCAGGTTGAAACAACAAAAATAATTTTCCCCGTAGAAATGTACCTCACCCATATGAAAAATTATACTTGCAATCAGATTCTCAGCAGCAGTGCTTTAAAGTACATTTGTATTTATTTTTAATTGACAAATTAAAAATTATATATGTTTATGGTGTAAAACATGATGCTTTGATATAGGTATAAACCGTGGAATGGCTAAATTAAGCTAATTAGCATATGCATTGTATCATATAGTTTGTTGTGATGAGGACACTTAAAATCTACTCTCAGCATTTTCAAGTATACCATACGTTGCTATTAACTGTAGTCACCATGTTGTACAATAGATTGGCAGAACTCATTCCTCCTGTCTAATTGAAATATCGTATTCTTTGACCAATGTCTTCCCAATCCCAATGCTTTAAACAGCTGAGATAATTGTATTTAGATATTGCCATTTCATTATTATGCTATTAATATGATAATAAAATAAAATTTTCACTGAGCTAAACTTAGAAATATTGAATCTTAAAAAATAGTTGGAATCATTACAAAAGTGCCAATGCAACTTGTTATTAACAGCATAGGTGATAACATTAACTACCAATCACAATTTCAGATAATGTAATATATTCAAAAATATAGCTTGTCTTTCATTAAATTTGGATGGTGTATTATTTTATGAGACTTATTAAACATTTAATTTTTAAAAAAATAGTGAAATTCTGCTGACTTAATTCATAAGGCAAGGTGTTCACTGCATATTTGTGTTTGGTTCAGTTAAACTTAGAAGTTGGAATTTAGATTTTTTTAGTAATTGTTTAATTACTAAGTAAAAATATATTAATTATCTTTGTTTTTACCCTGTATTCAGACAATTAATATATTTTATGTAGTTCTGATTTGTTTCTTGGCAATTGTATCAGTCAGTGTCAAGTCTAGAATGCAGAAATCACTCTAGAATTTCAGATACTGAGAAATTTAATGCAGTTGCAAAGTTGTTAGATGGGCTGTAGAAGCAAAAGAGAAAAGGATTTATGAGCAATTAGGGGGCTGGCTCAGCCCTGGGGGAGGAAGGATGTGACTCTTGCAGGTGCAGCTTCTTCCTGAAACCATGCTGCCAGGGTTGCAAAAAGCAATTTGAACTCCTGAGGGCTGCACTGAAACCGTTTTCTATTGCATTCAATCCCTATCCTACCTCTATGTTCCCATTGGAATTCTCTAGGTGCAAAGAGTGTTAGAGAATGTGCTTTTGAGTCTTCCCTTTCAAACACAATACACAGGCAATTTCAGAGAAACAGGAAGTGAGCTGAAAACCCACAGACACCTAAGAGATATAACAGTAGACAATAATTTGTAACATTGAAGTTTCTTCTAATAGAAACATTTTTTCAGGTTTCTGATGCAAATGTACGCAAACATATAGCAGTTTGACCTTTGCTTATTTCTAAGCTTTAGCATATTCCTATAGCCTCCTATAGATCTGACTTTTCCCCATGAATCTCAACAGATATACTTGCCTATTAAGCCAAAAACAAGTGAAAAAACTGAAAATTGTCATTGAGGAAGAAAAGGAATCAACTTTGAACATAATTCCTATGAAAAGCATGTTCCTCCTCTTATCTAGGATTAAGTCCATCACCCCTGCTCCATATCTCATAATCTTGTTCTTCTCAGGACCTCACTTCATCAAAAGATTTTCAATTATCCACTGCCCATATAATCACATTAATCTTTCTCTCATTTTTTGGTTCCTTTCTACTTTCTTTAAATTTTCTGGCACCTTAAAAATTAATTTTTGACCCAAGATGTCAGATTAGTTATACTCTTCTTTATTTCCATTCAAATATGCTTGTTGAAAGTGTTGCACAAGCTCACATTCTCCTCTTGCTTATTTTCATTCCTCCAATCAGTTTGGTTAAGTATTTACATCCACTACTGCATTGAAACTACTTTAGGAAGGAGGTCCACCGATAACCTCGTTTCCTTAATGTTTTGCTGATTGTGAAGTATATGACCATAGCTGTTGGGTCTATGGCCTACTTTCTCACTTTTGCAAATCTCTTCTGTGGTCTCAAAAAAAAAAAAATCACTCTGCTGGTACTCTTTCTCTGTTTGCTGATTCTTCTCATGTTTGCCTCTGGGTTCTGCCCATGTCATAAGTATTTCCCACTGAATATTCTTCAAAGAAATTTTGTCTTATTTTGTGACTTGAACTAGTCTATGTCAGAGAGGCCTAAAGCTGTATGTCTGGTTGGGGAGCTTCAAACTCATGTATCAAATCGTTTTGGGCATATAAATAACCTGCATGTCACAGAGATATTACTCAACACAATATGTTAAAAGAGAGTTTGCGATTAAATCTCTTCAAATCTTCCTGTCCAAACATATATCATTTCTAAATGAACAGCACCACCATTCTCTTAGCTCTGAATACATGAACTTTATGGACAGCTTTGTGGCTTCTATCATCCACACCAATCGATAACTGAATCTTGTTAATTTCATCACTTAATATTTAGCAAAGCTGTAAATTTGTTAGCATTCCTAATGCCGATAGCTTACTTTGTCCTATGGATTACTTCATCCTGTTTTACATAGTCTCCCTGCATTGTCTTCTCTTCCTTTAATGCCTTTTTGCTATGTTAACTTGAATAATATTTGTGAAACATAAATACAACTGATCATTACCATGATTATCTTTCTCCATTAGCTATAGAAACCATTTGATATCAAATTCAAATTAATTAGCCCTAAGATATCATGGGAGGGACTTTGACTTTCCCTTTTTCCTTTTCTTCCTTCTTATTTTCTTTTGCATGACTTACACTTTGGAACTCTAGTCACTCAAATGATTCATGCTGTGGCTTTCACACATGCTGCCTCCTGATTTTGTCCCTTCTTGCCTTCTCTCTATACCTAAACCCATGTTCCCTACCAGTACCTCAGGTCAGGAATTACCTTCCCTTAGAAAGCATCTTAGCCTTACTTGAACCTCAGGCTGATAGTTGCTCTTCCATAGACTTTTGTTCATAATTCATTATAATATTTAGTAAATTTTATGACTAGTTTCTGGATATTACTTGGTTCTCAATGTCTTGAAAAGAGATTTCATATTGTTAACATTTGAGTCAATTTCGTGACCTAAGAGAAAGATTATATGATGGAAGAACAAGTAAGTAAAATAAAACATATTGAATTGATTCGACATATGAATTGAATGTCTGCAAAGTACCAAGCTTTATGTAAGACTTGGTATCCCAGCAGTGATGAATTCAGACTCAGTGCTAGTTTCTTATCTATCTTCTGCATAAGACTCTGTACTCTTTGAAAGCCGAAAGAGGCTTACCAATATTAAACCTATTGCCATTTAACAGATAAGTTTTGAGAAAGAATGAAAAAGCGAAATAATTTTTGCAGTTATATATCCAACTTGTAAAAAGTGCTGCTTTTGATATGCTCCACTTTTGGATTACAGACTCTTAAGTTTCTCCCACTGTAAGAGAAAAGATCTGTTACTAATCCTATAATTTACTTTAGAGTTTTTTCAGGTATCTAAAATAGTCTTGCATCCATGTATCAGGGGCAGCTTCAATTATCTTTGGTCCTCTAAGACTGATATCCTTTTAATCAACCGAAATGGCTCTACAATTATCTAAAAATGAAAGGGTATAAGTTAAAGGTGATTCTTAAATGTGGAAGCTAAGAGATTAGAAAACATTAGGCACATGTTTTCTGGGACTTAATAATGAGTCATCTATATTTATAAGCCAGTTTGCTATAACATCAGTAGGGGAGTGATGCATACTTTTATTGTAGTGAATGGAATATAATAATCGCTAAATTCTCCCTTCCATATTTTTTAGGTTTTATACAGTTCTAAATATTTCAGACGAATAGAGTTCAGGCAAAGTCAGGATTTATAAAATTTTATTATAGAAATGTTATAAGAAATATAACACATGAGAGGGATACTAAATTACCAAATAGTGTACATAAGATAAACAGCTTTTCTTCACCTCTGAAAATAATTTAAATATGTCAATGCCACTTTCTTGGATATGTAATGCTAGATGATAAAACAGAAAATTCTAATATTGGTGAATTTTTAAGGAATTTTCAGTAAGTTTGATTTACAAACTTTAAAAAATCTTGTTTGATAGTTTGTTTTAGTTTCACTTTACTCAACATTTTTCTGATGCTCAATAGATAAAAGAGTGAAGTCATGATTATTCATGTACTAAATAAAGTGTGTTTAATTGCAAATTTTACTTACTGACCTCAAAACAATTATGGTACTCAGTTGAACGCAATTTTCTTTCTAATTACCTGAATAAATTACTGTGTTCACTCTACCTTGCTTTTTTATTTCACTTTGCCTATTGTTTGCTCTCAAACCTGACTGTCAACATTCTGGAGATGCCTTTTACTGGAGGCATTTCATTTTCTTTGATGGAAATGAATAGTTTAAAGTGATTTTATTCTGTTCTCTCATAATTGATAAAATAGAAAATGACCATCACAATCTGGAGACCATTATTTATTTATTTATTTAAAGACACATCCAGAAATGCTAAAAGTGAGAATGAGAACAATTTATTTTTTATCCAGCATAAATTCATCTTCTTTTGGAAATTTAGAGTATAGGCACATATATTTGTTTTATTCAATTTAAATATTTTAGCAGGTATTGAATACTTGTTAAGGAATTTAGTGTAATTTTTCCTAATAATACTCTATAATATTGTTCTTTTAGGATGTTATTGTTAGCTGCATCTATCTCCAAGAAGCCTGATTCACTAGATAAGAAGTATTATTTTAGAGTAATATAAGCCATTTCTTAATGTTTGCTAATAATTACCTAACTGAAGTGAAGGGGAAATAAAAACAAGTTTCAGTTTCTGAATGGACATTTATTACACAAACTATTTGTCATGATTGTCACATGTAGGATAAAAGTTAAAATTATGGTAAATATGTTCATATACTATGTAAAGTCAAAATAATTTTTACTGGTCCAAATAAGTTGGTCATATAATGTATATGTAGAGTAAATTCTTTCTTAATTTGGAGTATTACTAAACATTTTTACCCTAGCTGAGACGAAGCGTATGTAAATATGTCTTCTGCATATTTTTGAAGAGAAAGTTAGAAGAAAATGAAGAAAATATTGTCAAATTCTCAATGAAAATAAATGAATGAGTCATAGGCCTGCTTCTGATAGACAAAATGACGCACCAGAAATGTCTATAACCTAATTAGGGAATAAAACAAATATCATATATAAGTAATAACATCTTGAGACTCAACTGGTCCCTCAAATGTGAATGTTCAAGTAATACTTCAAGAGAATCCATTGCAATCATAGGTGTCTAGTCACACACAACTATGTGGTGGAAAATTCTTGGGCTGAGAGAACATGCAACCCTGAGGGAGGGTAGGAGAAAATAAGAAGCAGTTGATTTCCTCAGCCAGTCAACAAATTTGATTCTTTTCTTGTTTTAACGGCTTTTGTATTAAGAATGCTTAATTTTTATGAATCATATGGATAAAGTAAGAAAATTCTAATTTGGGCTATTTTAACATGTCAGCCATTTTAATCTTCAGTTGCATCAGTCTTGAAAATTGTAATCCAATAACCTAGAAATGTTAATTCAAAAAAATCCATTATAACATATAAACAACCCTAGTCAGATCAATTGACTGAAAAGAAAGGAAGGAAAGAAATTGAAGTCAAAAACATACAAAAACCAGAAATGAGAAAAATTTATGTAGAATGATATTCACTATAGAGTTACTTATTTTTTTTAAAAAAAGAAGCAACCAAGGTGCCCCAAAATAGGAAATATTAAGTAGATAACATATGATACAGCCATTACATTAAAAATATATGCAAATTAGAAATATTTTCTGATTTAATGATACCTGAAGCTTTTCACAGTTTAGTGGTAAATTAAACATGGATAAATAACGGGCAGAGTAAAATAAAACTGTAAGAAAGCACACTTTTTTTTTTTGCTTTTTAATAAATGTTTACATTTTAAAATATATCTATGTTAACAGAAGAGTTGTGAAGAAAGTACAGAAAGATCATATTTGCCCTATACCTAGTTCTTACGGAGAGAAGTCAGATGAAGATAGATAATATAGGAACAAAACAAGTACAGAGAAAATCTACTTCTATATAGGAGGGAGTAAAAGTGCACATTTATCTCCGAAACACAGTGACTATTTTTAAATACATTATTAGTATTTAAAACTTGGACTGTGGAAACTCACCTACTTAGAGACAGATTTTTTTTTTTTTTTGAAACAGTCTCCCTCTGTCACCCAGGCTGGAGTGCAGTGGCATGATCTCACCTCACTGCACCCTCTGCCTCCTGAGTTCAAGCGATTCTCCTGCTTCAGCCTCCCAAGTAGCTGGAATTACAGGCGGGTGCCACCACGCCGGGCTACTTTTTGTTATTTTTAATAGAGGCAGGGTTTCACTATGTCGGCCAGGCTGGTCTCAAACTCCTGGCCTCAAGTGATCCGCCCACCTCGACCTCCCAAAGTGCTGGGATTACAGACATAAACGACCACGCCTGGCAGATAACTTTTTTATAAACAATAGAATCCCCTTCATAGTCCAAATTTTGTTGAAAATAATTTTAGCAGTCAAATTTCAGTGTGTTGCCATAATCACAGTACCCCAAAATATATTGTCCTTATCCCTCACCACATCATTAAGTGTATACAAGCTGTTAATTAGACAAATATCATCATATTTTTCCCTTCTTACATTTAAAACATAGATTTCAAAATAATTCATATGATCAAAGTAGGATACATGAATTTATTTCATATATTATTTTCAGATTTGTCTTTTATCCCTGTCTCCCATTTTTTTCTCCTATCACGTGAAAACTTTGTCATCATGCAATTATGCAGTCAAAAATTTAGGTTTAGAATATAGCACAGAAGATCAAGAAAAATGAATATATGGTTTAAGTGTTTTGTTTTCTTTTTCCATTTCTTACTTTGATATACTCTGTGTTTATAGCCTCTATTGTAATGTTTGATAGCACATCACCGTGTCCCTATGGTAAAATTAAACAAAACACAGTAACTGAAGGTATAATTCTGTTTAATCACTGCAATAGGTATTTGTTGTGTACTTAATAGTTACTCTCCGGTTATTCTAAATCCTGATATAAAGATAAATAAAACATTGTTTCTAACACAGAGGACGTCACAGCCTAAAGGGGAAATGAAATAGGATTGTACTTCTTCCTGACACTTTCATTCATCTTTTCTTCATTATGGGAGCCCTTGATAACTCCCTGCAGTGTGTTTGTTCTTAGAAGTAATCCAGAGGTGAATTACAAGGCATTTAACTAGCTAAAGGCTCATATTCTGTTGCTCCTTATGATATCACTCTTGCTGTTGGTCAGAATTGAACCTAGCAGTCCGATTTTAGTGACTGAGCTCACACTTTGCTCCCAGATTCTACCCCTGATGTAACTTGGCTATTGAGTGGGAGCTCTAACTTGACACTATTTAATGAACTCCATGCTTGATAACCTCCTTTTACCCCAGAATCCTACAAAAGATGTTCTAACTTTTGCCTTACCGGTGTGCTAGAGTTTTGCTTCCTTACCTTGCCCTGTTGCTGGGACCCTACTTAAACTCACTGATCTCCCAATTAGGAGTCACTTTCCTGCCAACCTGGGGCCTCAGGGAAGAATGCTTGTCTTTCTTACTATTCTTTGTAGCACGGAAATTTAGCATAGGTCCTAGAAAAGCATAACGATCCAAATATTTTTATTAAATTGTTAACATAAACTAAACCTCGCAATTATTCATTTTTATCTTTTCCCTCATTGTCTGTGCTGTCTGTCCAGACCTCAGAAGCATATTGTTACATGCTGACAAGCATACTTCCTATCACATACTTGTTTTCATTTTCTATACTTTTATCTTCTTCCAGTTTTTTCTGGTTTCTCTGTCTACATAATGTATGTGATTTACCTTTTTGCAACTCTCAACTTGTTCTCTTTCTATAAACACTTGAATGTCTCTCATTAATATTATAGCTTCACCAGGGAATTACATGAGCACAATATTATGATGCTAATAATTCCAGGAAGAATGGACATTTTAGAACAGCATAATGTGTGATAATTATTCCTGAAGAGGTCAGAGAAGATATCATAAAAAAGATGTTTTGAAAGCTTGAGAGGGCATTTTCCAGTTGGATAGCAGAAGAATAGTTAACTTTGCTCTAAGGAAAAACTCTCAGACACATGTGAAAAAAGACTATGATCAGGTTACAATAATTAGTTTGGTATAGTTACTACGTGGAAATAATTCTGGAGAGTGTGTGGAGTTGGAACTGTGTATTAGGCTAAGACTGTGAAGCACCTGTTGTAAAATGAAAACAGATTTGAACTTTGTCCTTTGGTGAATGCTTTTATTATGAGAGATTAAAAGGATCAGATCTGTGTTTTAGAAATATGCCACTCATGTTTCTGTGATACTAGATCTGAGAAAAAAGAGCAAAGAGTCACTAATACCACTTAGACAGGGACACTGACAAGGAACAAAATACGATGCTGTGGGCCTGAATTAGGTTATATTGCAAAATGATATGACACAAATAATATTTATTTTTATGTGGAAAGTATGTAAAAGAAAGGGGTCAAATATTCTTTCATCAATTTATTCAACAATGAGTTGAATTTACCAAGCAAAGTGCTATAAATGGTGTATTAGTCTGTCCTCATGCTGCTAATAAAGACATACCTGAGACTGGGTAATTTATAAAGAAAAAGAGGTTTAATGGACTCATAGTTCCACATGGCTGGGGAGGCCTCACAATCATGGTGGAAGATGAAGGAAGAGCAAAGACTTGTCTTACATGGCGCCAGGAAGAAGTGCAGAGCAAAAGAGGGAAAAGCCCCTTATAAAACCATCAGGTCTCATGAGAACTCACTCACTATCATGAGAACAGGATGGACGAAACCACCCCCATGATTCAATTATCTCCACCTGGTCTCTCCCATGACATGTGGGGATTATGGGAACTACAATTCAAGATGAGATTTGGGTGGGGACAGGGGCAAGTCATATCAGATGGCTAGAGCAGCAAAGAAAACTGACAACAGCCCTCGATCAGAAGGTGCTTAATTTTTGGTAGGGGAGACAGGCATTAAACAGATACGCAAAAAATATATAATCTGGAAAATGATGATAAGGTCTGTGAAGAAAATTAGGCAAGAAACGAGATGGAAACAAAAGAATACTAGGAATTTTAAATGTGAGGACTTGAAGTTGAGAGACAGAGTCATGCATAAACCTGGGGAAGAGCATTCCAGCTAGTGGGAAAGGTAAATAAAAAGTTATTATTTAGATGGAGCACAGTGTATGAGGAGGAGTGTAGTGAGAAGTAAAGTCAGAGAGTAGAGAGACCTACAGGCCAGTATTGTCTTTAATGTACTTGCAGAATCAGAAGTAAATCCTTACTCTGTGAGTAGATTGTGAGTTGGATTTTGGAAAGATTTTAGTTTCCTGAGTAAAATATCAGAGAAACATCCACTAAGTCAATGAAGGTATGACTTCAGCTCAGTAGGCAGATTGGAGATACAGAATAAGAGGACCCATCTAACAAGTTTGAAAAACATTCTTCCAAAAATTAAAAGGGAAAGGCTGAGTCAACATCAAAAATAGAATTTTCAATAGAAGATTGTGAATGACGTGAATGACATTGAAAATAATTCAGAGAAGTCACATAGGTAAAAACTGAGAGAAGGTCATTATGTTTGGCAATTAACAAGTTTGTAGTGACTTAAATAGGAGCTCTTTTAGTAGATTAATAGAAGGAGAGACAGATCTCAATGGTCTGTGGAATATGTGAAAGTGAGGACGATGAAAGAAGGTTAGTATTGAGGATTTTTTTATGGTAAATGGATAAAGAAAGCTAAAGTTTGTTTGATCATTTTAAAAATACACTTTATTACAAAAAGAGTTTCGTGTAACTTTGGAATTCTTAATTTCTGTGTATTATTTCTATCAAGTTAAATACAGGAAACTTCAAAGAACCTACAAATTTCCTATACTGTGCTGAAATTAATGGAGTGATTTGACTGTGAAGTACAGTCTAGCAATCCAGCATAGTATGAAAAACATGTGATCTCAAATAAAGACCTGGATTTCAGGGCTGGTTTTGGCAAACAGTATTGCATGGGAGTGTTAAACTTCTTTGACCTTTAGTATTAACATAGAGTTAGGATACTAGTAACATCTACCTGAAAAGTCTATTACAAATATGAAATTCATGAATACATGTTTTTTAAAAAGGCGTTTAAACATACACAGGGTGGTTCCTGTTATGATTAGCAACAGTAGGTTTTACAGAGGGAAATTGGTGACTCTGATTTTAAAGAGTGACACTTTTGCTCCCTATGATTTCAGGCAAGTCATACTTTTTAAATCTAAAAAATACTATCTGTGAGGAGGTTTTAAAGCATCAATCAACCTAAAAGTTTAAACCTTTTCCCCATCTTTGAGCATTATTATTATTTCTAAGTTTTGTAAGTGATTTTTATTTTGAACTGGATCTTGTACAGAAAAGTGTTTACAAACTGTGAAGCACTATGTACCTGTGAAGTTTTATATATTTTTCATGTTTTCATTGCAATGATATTTTACTTAATTAGATTTCACATGTAACTACTATTCATTATAGCAGATTACATATATATATCTTCTGATTCCAAAGAAATACTTTCAATAGTTTTGAAATAGCCTTGGTTGCAAATAGAGCACCTTTGATTTTCTTCATAAAATCATCTTTCATAACCTTTGGATTGAACACCTTATATCACTTTCATGTTGCTCTTTGAAACTCTATTTCTGATCCCTTTAACATCAAATACAGAAAGAAACATACTAGAGCACCATCACAGTACAGCCCTTTGGAGATTCCAGAATAAGGCCTATGGCACAGTACGTTAACCCATCACCCATTCGGATACTTTAGCTTATTTGACCCCTGCTTGACAAGAAGAGGTCAGATTCATATTGTTAATATTCTTAAGCATGTGTATGTCTGACACCCTCCATTTCCCTTTAAGACCAGAATAGAGTTCAAATGCACTCACCTTTTCAATAAAGCATCACTAGTATTGTCTGCATATACACTTGGTATTCAGAAGATGCAGATCTTTTTGAAGTAAAATCAAGAAAATACTTCTTGTATATATTTTGCCAAAGATTTAAAATGCTTTGTGCAATAAGTTGCTCTTATCAAAGGTTTAGATGAAAAAAAATGAATGTTTCAGAAGATATATCTTAACCTAAAGAATATAAAAAGTAACAGCTATGCAAACCAATTTGGTAGATAATAGTTTTAGGTCACTAGATGTTCAGAGCTAAATTTTGGATTTTATCATTAATAAAATGAGTCCTCTATACGACTTCTTCCTCCTCTTATGTCTTTAGTATTTAATTTTTGGCAATACATTATGGATGGACTAGTATACAGTTATAAAAGCATGGAATTTTACATTGTAGAACTCTGAATTTGAATGCGAGTGGTCTTTGACACTTTACAATTGAACAAGTTACTTAACCAAGTGTGATCCATTTATTTTTTCTATGAAATGGAAGAATGTATATATCACAGAGTTTTCTCTTCCTTGTTTTATTCCATTTTTCTAATTAAATAAAAAACTGTGTATACATTGCCTGATACAAAATAGAGCTTCAATCAACAATTGGCTTCTTTTTAGTATGTTAGGTGGTTTTATATAATTGTTAATATAAATTGCCTAAAATTATTTTATCTGAGCATGTATGATATTAACAAATGTGTATTTGATACCAAAATATGCTCAATAACAAGATGAAGGAGAAGAGTAAGGAGAAAATTGGCCATGATAACAAACATACTCTCTCATAAGTAAACTACTACACAAGCATTGCTATTCTATTATTTTGCTTTTTATTGTTGTTAACTTGATCTTTATCAGTTTTAATTCTATTTTGGGTGACTTTCTATAGGTAAGGATGTAGTGATAATAAATCATAATACATTTGAAATACAATCAGGAACTGCAATAATAATGTTTTGGTTAATGACAGACCTCATATACAATGGTGATCCCATAATATTTTAGTGAAGCTGAAAAATTCCTGTTGCCTAGTGATATCTTGATGGTTCTGACCCTGTGTAGGCCTAGGCTAATGTGTGTGTTTGTGTCTTCATTTTTAACAAAAATTTTAAAATGTAAAACAAAGAAAAAAACAACAAGAAAAGAAGCTTATAGGATAAGAATATAGAGAAAATATTTTGGTACATCTGTAAATGTGTTTTTGTTTTAAGCTAAATGTTATTACAGAAGAGCAAAAAGTTTTAAATAGGAAAAAGTTTATAAAGTGAAAAACTTACAGTAAGCTAAAATTATTAAAAAATAAATAACTTGAAAAATGTCTTATGAATTTAGCATAGTCTAAGTGTACAGTCTTTATAAAGAATAAGGTAATGTACAGTTATGCCCTAGGCCTTCACATTCACTCACTCACTGACTTACCAAGAACAACTGCCAATGTTGCAACCTTCATTCAGTAAGTGTCCTATTTAGGTGTGCCAATTTTTATCTTCTATGCCATAATTTACTGTCACTTTTCTATCTTTAGGTATATTTATGTACACAAATACTTAAAATTGTGTTACAATTGCCTACAGTATTCAGTACAGTAACATGCTATATGGGTATGTAGCCTAGGAGCAATAGGTTTATACCATGTAGCCAGGGTGTGTAGTAGGTTATACCACTTAAGTTTGAGTAAGTATACTCTATGATGTTCACACAAGAACAAATGTGCCTATTGATGTATTTCTCAGAACATAACCCTGTTAAGTTGTGCATGACTGTGATAAATATCAATACTGTGAAATGCTTTGAGAATATATAGTTATTTCGTTATTTATGAAAGTATTTCATTGTTTTTTATGAACACATTTTTCCCTGAGAATGATTGCCAACTAAACAAGGTTTCATTGGAGTTTGTCTATTGACAAGGTGTTATTGGAGTTTGTCTATTGACAAGGTTTTATTGCAGTTTTTATATTATCAACATTATCTAGCTTTGCAAACCATAGTGTTCAAAAACCTTAATTCAATGTGTTTGTCATCACATACATTTGATACCAGGAAGTCATTTCTTTAAATGAAAGAGTTTAGAAGCTCAGGTTATCTCAGAAGTTGAAAGATATACATAGAGACAAGGATACTAGATTCTGAAACTCAGCTTCTAAATGTTCATCACTACCTCAAATAACGTGTTATAGGGAATACCAAATTTTTATCAAATAAAGTAATTGTTCCCAAAATAAAATATGAAAAAAGTTCACTATCAAAAAACTTGTGAATAAAATATGTACTGTGATGATCATTAAAATCAATACATTATATCACAATTTGTATTATACAAAGGTAAGAAAAATCTAGTAAAATCTTCAAAAGTATCTAAAGATTAATTATAGTTAACTATTACATACTCCATTCAATAAGTATTGGTGTTGTTCAGTTTGTACCAGATATTGTTGAGGTTCTGAAGATCTAGCAAATCTGGTAGACCTATAGAATTAAACTGTTAACCAATGTCCTGAGTAACACTGAAATAAATGAGAAATTGAAAAGCATGCAGGTTTTGAAGAAATTTTCCCAGTGTAAACTCAACTTATTTTTCCAAGTACGATTCTTTATATTTTGTGATTTTGTAGTTTTGCTAAGATTATTAAGAATTCAGTAATCAAAATATTTACACATTCAGCACTGACCAAATGTCTTCTTGTGTTGATTTTAGTTTCAGCAGTATGTATGCACATTTAGTATAAGCTGCTATGAGAATGATTTTTGAATGATCACCATTTTCTTTTAATTTTGGCAGTTCTATGATATCCATAACTCAGAAATGTAAGTTCAACCTCACACATAACCAGAAACCTAACTAAACTATAAATTATCGGGTAAAATTCCTATTTTACTAACAAAAATTAAATGATCTTTTATTACACATACGCACACACAACACGTAAACTAAACTATTTATAGAGGACTATAAGTAACACATTGCATGCCCTCATTTCTCTAGTGTGACATGTACTGGAGTTCTATTTGAGAAGCTTTATTACTGCTAGCTGTCTTCCAGATATATGTCTATTCTTGGTTTTATTTGGAGATTTATTTATATGCTTCTTTGGCGCTTTTTCTAAAGTGCATAGCTAAGAGACGTGAATTTTTCCATTTTTTTAGTTTTGTTTATATGTTAAGATATCATCTAGTTATAAACTTGTCATTGGCTACTAAGTTTATAACATGGTTTTTCTTACAGAAAAAAATATAGACTTCCATTCTTTCTGTCACAATTAATTTATGTTGCAGTAAATAGGTTAGTAAGGTCTAGAAAATATTTTAGAAAGGCAAGGGAGAACAAGTACTGAACAGATACAAAGTTCTCCCTGTAGAGAAGGATTTGTAGAAACAGCCCTGTGTGGTCACTGGATGGCTGTATAAATTGTCATGTTGTGCAGACATCTCTCTCTCTCACTCTATCTCCTTCTCTCTCACAAAATAGAGCTTTTGTGTCTTTTAAATACACACACACACACACACACACAGACACATAGATGCTCAAAAGGAAATTTGAAGTGTTATAATATTTAATCTTGAAAGTAGAAATTTTCAGCTACCTATTTCTCAAATAATTTTCCCAACATTTCTCTTATTTGGATGATTTTTGTCGCTAGTATATTTAAAAGAAAAATTATATTTTAAAAGACCTTCATATACAGTACATTTTTCAGTTGTATAGTGATGTTACTTTTTAAAGTATATCTTTAATATGTAACTATCTTTTAAAATTATTTTGCTTTACCGAACAAATTTTCTCCAAACAAATTTACTGGCATCTTGTCATTTGGTGTTGACATTGTAGCTATACTCTTGATGTCCCCAGTGACTTTCATTGATTTAGTTCACTTTTCTGTTTGGAATGTAACATCTTACAGCCTTGCATTGACATCTTCTGGGGAATTTTGTGATGGCAGAAAGTCCTACTAATGTGAATAGTATAGATTCATACTTATTTTCTATTGTTTATATGCTATCTCTTAGCTTACTGAATGATGTTATTTAACATATGTCTCTGAGGTGTGTATAATATATAATTTAAAAAATAATATTAAGCTTTCATTGATCTATGCAGCTGAGTGAGAGGCAATATTTCTAGATAAATTGTACTTTGGGATCCCAACATTATTATAATTTTGAACAGAAAATGAAAATTTTTATTTCATGAGTTACTCATGAAATGAGTTAACTCTAAAAGTCTTCAAGATAATTTTAGCAGTACTACTCTGTGTGTATGTTTATTGCTTTTCTTTTTAAACAGTAGTTACACATTAATATATATTTCCTTAGTACTTTTGAATTCATCATGCATGAAACACAACATTTAAAATGGGCAAATTTTCTATAGAATATAGTTCACTAAAAATGCTTTACTATCATATTTGTCTTAAAAATAAGTATTAATGATATAATTTAAAGAGCAGCTAATATATCAAAATTGCAATGTTGTCAGCCTGTTTGCAGGCACAGATTTTAAGTTCTTTACTCAGTCCTAGCAATAGAACTTCAGTAAAATGTCTGTCTTACCATAGCTGCCTATGGAATAAGACCCGTAATGGGATAGTTTGTGACTACAAAATATATTCAAACTAACTGAACATATCTATATAAAACTTTTAATCTTGATCTTACTAGAAATATTTTCTACTAAACTAGCTATTTCTATGAAAGTACTAAATACACTATCTTCCTGAAATAATAATTTCAAGAAATATCTATTTCTGTAAATTTTCTTTAAAAATTTCTTTTAAAATATTGAATATGCTGAAATTAAAATAAATTGCTTAAATGATTAAATATAAACAATAGTAATAAACATTCCATACAGATTTTCAGAAAATTATATTTCAATGAAGACATGCTCACCTTATACATTTACTTAAGCTCACTTAATCTGTCATAAACATATGATTATGAGATACTGTCACAAAGTATCTCATCAAATCTTCAATAAAACATAAGGTTATTCTGTGTGGCAAAGACTTCTTTTTTAAAAAATGTACACTATTACACTTCTTAAGGCGAAAGTATGAATTCGTTCTTTTTTGAACGTCTTCTTCCAATAGGCATTTCTCTGACAGTTTATTGGTCATCACCTCTAGTACATTTCACCTATTCAAGGTGTTAATTAGGGGATGCTTATTCTATGAGCTAGCCACATTTTTGCTTTCAATTTAAATTAAAACATGTTTCCAGAATAGTTTTATAGGCATTATTGTATATCTGACTAATATGAGTTATTGTTAACTACATTATAAATCTTATTTATAGCCATATCCTTGGTAAAATAATATTTGATTCCATGTAATAATGCAATTTACAAATATAAACAGAGGTAAATAATTACACTATTATACAGTAAGTAAAATTGTCATTAACTACATATACCTTTTCCATGAATGACAATATAGTTTTTCTTGGTATTTAGTGTATATAATAGGAAAATCTTCATCTCTTAGTTACCAGATACATAAGGTATATTTTCTATCTATAAGCAAGTGGGATTTAATAAAGTGCATTAAAACAAACTGACAATAAAAAGCAGAATATGGTGGGACAATACAGTGGTCCTGGGAAGCTGTTACATTGCAATTGGAAAAAATAAGTTGATATTATTAGAGAAAAAAATGCAATGGGAAAGATGGGCTTCCATAAGACTTTAAATGCATTAGAGGAAAAGAACAGTAAGAAAAAAATGATCATGTGGCAAGAATTGCATGTTTCTTATCCCATGGGAGTTAAGAAGAGAGTGAATATTTTATTTTTGCTGCAGCAGAGGGAGATGATACTAAAAAGACAGTATAATATATTATAAACTGTTGATTAATCTGTCAATACCAAGATATGGTACTTGGCTATTTTTTTGCCTGCAGGAAAAGTAAACCCTTTGGAATTAGCTTTCCTTTGTTTCATTTTTTTCTGCTTTATCATTTTATTGATTATTATTTTTACTAATTATACTCCTTATCTGGTCTCTTCAAAATCAAGTTGGAGCTTTAGATATGAGTCTATCATTCAGGAAAAGAAGCTGGCAAAAAAATATAACAATAAAGGAAGAAACACATGATGGGAGTCTAAACATTACAACTCTCTTGATTATAAATAGAGATATAGATAGATGATAGATAGTAGATGGACATACTGACATATATATGAGCATAGTAAAGTATGATTATAATAAGTAGTTTGGAAAGAAGAAATTTACTTTTAATACATTTCTGCTTTTAATGTCTTATCCTGGTAATGAAGCTTTATATTCGTTAACTGATTTCATTATTATATTAATTTAGCAAATGTTTGCATTTCATAGATAGGTATATTAAATCTCAAAAAGTTTGAATAACTTGTCCAAGATAGCATAAGGTAGTAAAAGCATACCAAAGGCTTTTCAAAGGATTCAACACTGGAAACATTGAGCCCAACAAATTCTGATTCTATGTTTGTGTAAAGAATGATTGGATTCACATATTAAGTATTTAGAGAATCAAGTCGTTAAAATGTCATAAGGCTACCGATAAATTATTATTATTAAGCCTGAACAACTGTTTATGTGATAAATACTGTCTTAATTAGGATTATTTTTTTAAATCTCAAATAGATACAAAGGTAGGAATTCCTTTAGGATTAATGATTTTTATTTCAAATTGAAATGAAATGAAATAAATTCTGATTCAAATTTTGCTTGAGGTTATTTATATTGTATATAGTCTTATTTCCTGGAGGTATTAGAATTAGAACACATTAAAATATTAGTAAATTTTATGGTCATAATTTTAATTACCAATAACTTCACAATGGTAAATCATTTAAAGCCTTGAGAAATTTACGTCAGCATACCGTTATTCCTAATTTCCAAAATAAAATGAGTTATATCACTTATTTATCACATAAATGTTAATAAAATTAGTCTCTTTTTCTACCAAATTTTTATATCTTGAGATTTGCTGATTATAAAATTAAGCAGAGAGCTTCAGTAGAGGCTCAAATGAACTCTAAAACATTCAATCTATCAATGTCAAAAATTATTTAGGAAAACTGAAAAGAAATACAGTTATTGTTTATATTTTCTCAATTTCCTATAGTAAGCATTTGCTATTTTTAATAACAAAAATAATCAGCTAAACTTTAAAAGATTTAATTGTTATGTGAGAAATAGCAAATAACATTATTTTATAATTAAATGAGAAGATGTAGGTAAGTCTAAGATGAACTGTAACTGAAAGATGAAAGATTTTTAACATATGGGTTTAGGAAATATTTTAGTAAATCATATTTTAATTCCTGTTTCTGTATATATTCTGTACTCTGTTCCTCCTGTCTGAAATATATTTCTTCTTTATTTCTGCTCAGACTTCGACTTTTTCCATGCCATGCCGATCTTCTCCTCCCCTGAGACATGGCCTCAATTGATTTTACTCCTTTCTAACAAAAACTCATCTCTCCTTTGAAAATGAGAAATTGTATCATTAATGACAACATGGATGGAATGTGAGGACATCTTGCTAAGTAAAATAAGCCAGGCACAGAAAGACAAATATTGCATGATCTTACCTTGTATGTGGAATCTAAAACGGTTTATCTCTTGGAAAGGGAGTAGAAAGACAGTCTGGGTTGGGGAGGACGGCCTGGAAAGTGGTGGGGTTAGG
Organism: Homo sapiens; assembly: GCF_000001405.40. NCBI lineage: Eukaryota > Metazoa > Chordata > Mammalia > Primates > Hominidae > Homo > Homo sapiens. Next base: position 69,310,744 of record NC_000013.11, read on the forward strand.
GATGATGTTAATCACAAGGTACATAGTTTCATTTAGACTGAAAAAATAAGTTTTAGTGATCTATTGCACTGCATGGTGACCACGGTTAATAATAATGTATTATATCTTTCAAACTTGTTAAAATAATATTTTTAATGATGTCACTATAAAAATAGTTAAGTTGATGAGGTGATGGATATGGTAATTAGCTTGATTGAATCTTTATATTTTATTTATATATATATATCAAAACATGACATTTTACCCCACAAGTATACACAAATTAAATTAAAATGATTCATCACAAGTTTCACGTGCAAAGTCTATGCTCAAATTTTACTTTCAAAACTATGTTTCTCTTTGCTTAGAAATCTGGTGGTTTCTATAGTGGTTTCTAAAGCAAAAAACACAGAAACAACATACAAAATGTTAGAGATAAGTGTGCACGGGCACTGCTTGAAAGAGAATAAATTGATATACCAGCTAGTATAGTCAAGTGGCAGAAAAGAAAATGACATTCTAAAACAAGTGGTCTATATATTTCAGCCTTTCTATTACTTACTCATAAATACAGGATCATTTTAATGCTGATATATTTATTAATTCATACAGATTCACAGTTTCTGAAAGGACCATGGACTAATTGGATCACAAGCAAACTGAAACATTACAGGGTAAATATTATTGTGATTAGGATTATACAAAAACACCATGATGCCTCTCCCAACTTAGGGAAATCAGTGAAGGTTTTCTTGAAGAAAAGTGTTATGAACCATTAGAATATTTGGGTAAAAGGACCAGACTGCCAGTACAGCCAACTGCTGTAATATGAATGTTTTTCTTATGTGGCTTAGTGATTTTCTTTTTTAAAAGTGGATAATGATCTGGAGATATTTTTAAACAAATAAATTGAACGCTAGGTTTTGAAGAGCTCTCTGGCAGCGCTATAGAGATTGGATTGAGTTTGGAGGTACATTAGATTCACGAAGGCTAATTAAATGGCTCTGGCCATAATCCAGGGTTGATATGAAAAAGCTCTTAACAAAAGAATTGGGGGTAGAGGTAATAGGAAATATGAAGCAGTTTTGAGAGGTATTTAATATATTGATGTGACCAAGTCGAATGACTTGTTAAGATATCATAAATGAGAATATAAGAAGAGTCTAAGCATTTTTTACACCATAAAATACAAACAAAATAATAATATTTCAAAACATTTTGGAATATACAGATAAACTTACATTTAATGAGAGATAATCATCTGACAAAAGGGCAGAGATGAACAATATCAATCTATACCTGCAACCAATTTGGGACACACTATAATGGAAACCTCTCAAGATTACTTCTGGGCTTCTGCTTATGTAAGTAAGTGGATTAAAGATAGTACCTTCAAGTGCATGTTTTGAGGACAGTAACAACTAATGAGTAAAGTTTTGGACAAGTTAAATAAATCAAAGTACAGATATCCTGCATGTTATTACAAGTTTTGTTCTACATTTCAGAAGACAGCAGTAGGAGAAGAGAGAGATTTGAGGTTATCAACATTTAGGTATTGGCAAAAAGCCATGAGTCTCCTTAAGATAACAAAGGAAATAAGCGAATTGAGTAGGTCAGTGAAAGAACCTAGAAAGCACTAAAGTTTCAGTGGTCAAATTGAGATGAGGATCTAAGAAAGAATACAATCAATAAACATAAAAAGAAGTTAGAGGAGACCAGACATTTTATTAGACAAATTAGATAAAACATGGATGGTCACCAATAGTAAATGCTTCAGAAAAATGAGGTAATACAGAGCAACAACAATAACTACCATCACCACAACAACTATTGAAATCGGAAACTGAAAATTCCTTGGTAACACTGGGAAGAACAGTGCTAGCTGGGTAATAGGCAAGGTACTAAAAAATTAAATAAATATAAGATTGGAGATTATAGACCATAGGCTACTCTTTTAAGAACTTATACGATTTGGAGGAAAAGACAAATACTTCAGTAGCTACACAAGATGCATTATGATAAGATGACAGTACTTATATTTATATCTAAGTTCTACTGTATTTAAAAAAGGGAGGTGTGGGCAAGAATAATTAGACAGGGAAAAAAATGACAATGAAGTTGAAGACAAGACAACTGATGGAATAAGACTCCCATTGGGAAGAAGGTATGTGTTTCAGATTTTTTTAAATGGAGAAATTATACTTCAGAATAACAAAAACACCTTCATTTAAGATAGAAGGTTAAGGGGAAAGTGGTATTACAATGCAGATAATTTTCTAGTTTGAAAGGGTAAAATATTGATGGAGTCTATATCTCATTAAAGCTATTTAATTGTAAATAAGGATATCTGCTGTGTAAAATGTAGTCTCTGAAGTGCAGGCTTTGAGAATCAAGGAGGGTTTTGATTAAAGGATATTGAATTGCTGTGTAAAATTGAAATTTTTTGTGAATTTAGAGCTATTGTCACATGGTTTTGTCTCATTAAATTCAGAAGTAAGATTGGGAAAAGCAATAGGTTGATTAAAACAATATGCAGGCTTAGGGAGTTGAAGAGGCAGACAACCAAGGAATAAAGTGTTAATGTTTGGGTGACAGAATACTGTAAATAATAAATAAAAAAAATTACTACTGGGAAGAGATTGTTTAGAATAAATATAATGAAAAATATGTTCTGAAAATTATAAATCCCTAGGTACATATTCAGAAATATTATCAAAAGATACATTAATGCTTAGCTATAATATGTTAATATAATTAGCAGTTTAACACTAGTGCTACTATAATGAAAAGGACCACTTATATAAGGATCCTTATTCACACAAAATTCCACATTCATTTAAAATACAATTTAAAATAATTATCCATGAATCATATTTAGTATTTAATTTCATTATCTTAAGGAATACATACTATATTATTTCCAGAAAAGACATAGAAAATAAGTAAAAACATAATTTCTTTGGCAATCCTCTGAGAAACTGCAATAAAAAGAACTGCATTGTCTAATCAGACTCACTCAGAGCTTGAGGTTTATGAAAAATCTGAGCCATAGAAATGATCACAATATACAAGCAGAGCAGAGAAGTCCAGGGACTGCCACTGCAGTTGTCTTGTTTGTTGTTGTTGTTTGTTTTGAGGCATTTTTTGTTTTTGCTACATAAGAGTAGAACAGAATAGCATATCAAGTCCCTAAATAATGTTCGCAGCTATATTGATTAAAATAAAAATTGAGTTGTTTTAGTTGTAATACATCTCCATTTTATACTCTGATATTTACATAACATACAGGACCTTTACCAGGGAGCCATGCTCTTAAATCCCTATGCTCTACATGTGCTTATACTAAGCAATTAAAACAAGTACAACATATGAAGAACATTTTATAGATAAGGGCTTTTTCACCAGCAAATACCAGTAACATGTTTGCAAGAGGTTTGTCATTACACTATTTATGAGTATATTTGTCCAGGCTATCTTCTTTGTTTCATGGGGGCACCCCTCCATTGAATTGAGGGAATCATCTGTAGGCCTACTGCTAACCATTTTCTTCCAGAAACATACATTTATATTTGACAACTGGTGGTCCTTTAATATTCATTTAAATTTTAAGTTTCTCATCAATGAAATTACAAAAGATGAAAGACATTAGTATTTTCCCTGCGCCTCTGAGCCAAACAATATCAAGTAGCTTCTAGCTGCTTTCTGCATAATTAAAAATATAATGTCAGTACGGTTAAGCATCCAAGGTAAATAAAGTATTACATGATGTCAAGAGCTACCTTATTGATAATTTGGTCACTGTGACCTCTGAGACCCCTCTGAAAATATCTGGACTTAGAGAAGAATACTGTGTTTCCTATTTATTGCTTGTCTATGCTATATAATCTCACTCTCCCTCTAAGAAACCAAATTAGGAGCTAGAGATATGTAACTAGACATACCTAATAAAGGAATACAATTGGCCAACATAAGGTATTTCATCAGCAAACACAGTTCACTAATTTTTCAACCAGAGATGTTAAATACTATCCAAAGCATTCTATGATGTTATAAAAGTCCAAAATACTCATTTATAAGAAAGTGCATTTGTACAAAATATAAATAGGAAAGCAAGGCGGTCTTTTCTTACAGAATCCTACAGTAAGATCAAAGAACCTTACTGAACAGACATTTAAATAGATCACTGAGAGGTAACATTTGAATTGGTTTTAATTTTATTTGAGAAAATTCTACCAAAATCTATAAACCAGCCAATAAAATGTCATGATTAACTGCATCAAATGCTGCCAAAAGGTCCAACAAAATCATGAAAGACAACGTCCCTTGTTGCAATCAAAAGGTCATTATTTTCTTTCAATACAGCAGTCTCAGCACTATGATGAGGATGAAATCCTGATTAAAATTGCTCAAATGAGTCAAATTGCCTCATGTGTTAATGTAATTGATTACAACCTCCAACACTTTAAGCAGAGCCTAAATTAAAAAATGAATGATGATGTTGCACTTTATCCACCAGCAATGAAGCTTTCTTCAGCACTTCTGGCTCAGTATAAATTCACGGTCATTTGAAGAGCTGACTCAGAGCCAAGAAGGAGAAAAAATACTATTTTAATGTCCATCAATGACATTATGAGAATCAATATCCAGGTACAAAACAGAGGACTGAGTCTTGCTGAGAATCCATCTCTCACTCCGAGAACCAGAATTTACTAATCCTGAACTGTTGAAAAAGAATATCTACTTTGGTCTCTGAATAATTACTACCATAAACTGAATGATCATATTCCCACATTGTGCTCCTCACAAAGTTTTGCTACTGAACAATACAAAAAAGACATGTTCTTAGATCTTGATAGTTCTCCCTCATTTTGGTGCCTCTCACAGATTAAGAGAGACAGGAACTGTGTCATTGACCTCCAGGTCATTAGTGCTACAGCTGTACCCTAAGACCATCGCAAGGTAGACTAGAGATAGGAGGCGGAGACAAATCAGAAAAGAATGATTTATGGATTGCAGATATTTTAGCAAACAACCTTGGCTCATAACTTATGCATGTAATCTATGAGGAAAAATTGACATTAAAATTTAAAATGTTGCTATGTGATAGTAATAACAGTAATAGATAACATTCAGGGAGTGATTATTTTTTCCAGGAAATATTATAAGTAATGTATCTACATATGAACAAAATTCATGTTTGTATTAGCTTCATAAAAATATCTCCTAATCTATAAAATAATCCCTATTTTGCAGATTAGGAAACTAAGACAAAGAGAAGAAGTTCTGCCAATTCATTCTTATATAAGTACAAAAGTTTGAAATTGAATTCAAACATTTTGTTTCAAGAGCCTGCACCACTGTCTCATAGCATCGCTATGCCATCTTATCCCATGTTGTCTAATGCTTATGTGGCTAGTGACACTAGACAAAGCAACTCAATTCTCATGCTACATTCCACTACTTTTTACACTGGTATTTCCTTTAGTATGCTGCAAACAGCCATACATATATCCATATTTATATACACACATAAAATGTCATAAGAATCCTAAAGGGTATATATCCCTAAGCACTGTTTTATATGTACATATGTATTATGCACATATGTATCAAATGATTTAACTCATAACTGGATAAACACTCAAAAACTTTTATAAGAAAAAAAATTATAGGACAAAGTATATATTGTCTTTGGCTTAAGTTGCCTATCACTAATTATTTGGATTAAAAGGGTTTCTCAATAGCATTGAGTGGCAATGACAAAAAAGATTTTCTCTGCGGTAATACTCTCACCATAATAAACTATCTTAGCAGAACGGCATTATCACAGTCAAAATATTGTTGTAGTCTATACATTCTTTCTTGAAGACACACGTATTAATTTTTTAATCCTGAATATGACAAGAAAGAAACTATAACATATTTTGAACTGAAATAACAATGAGAGAATCATTTCACACAAAATCATCTCTAAGTTTCATTAAGTACATCAGCTGTCTCATCAACTGATTTTTGAAGTGGCAGAATGACCTAGCAAATCACATCTAATGACAAAGAAAGTAAATGTAATTAAAATCCAACCTAGGGCAAAAGCTAATAACTGACAAATGAAGAGAAGGCATTAAAGTTATGTTAAAAGGTGAATTAGTAACCTTGAATGAAATAATAACACTCTAATGACTAAATTTCACCGACTGCTTACCAGATTCTGAAGTCAATCAGTCGTCCTTTTAAATCAGGTGTCCAACTATCCCAAGATTGATTAAGAAATGCTGGCTTCCATTTTTTCAAAGCAATTTCAAATCCTTCCATCAGTAGTTATTTTACTTTTAACATCTTTCCCAAATTGATTGCAGATTCTGTTCTTCTTGATTTTTGTTCATGTTTCATGGCTCTGATTTCTCATTTAGTCACATCATAGGTCGTAAAACTGTGCTACATTCAAAAGACCACTGAATTTAGCAGAGTATTTAA